>NC_000009.12:35161515-35313030 GCF_000001405.40 Homo sapiens
AATGATGAGCATAAAAAACGGTCTAGATAAGAACTGAGGTCTCCAGACATACTTTATGCCCACTCAGTTTTGTCTTTTGCCCTAGTTGCTAAACAAAACTTAACTTTGCTGTGCGGTGCGACTTCGTTAACTTAAAATTACAGGCTGTCAGCTATGACCGCTAGACTCTAAGAAAGTCCAGTGGAAATCCTTCAATGAAAAGAATCTGTTCTTGGGTGGAAGCCCCGCTCATGCAGGAGGAACAGAGGGCTTCCATTCTCGCGTCACACAACTGAGGGTCAACCCCTTGCTCCCTGCAGTAAGCCTGATTAGTGGGCGGAGCTTCCTTCAGGATCGCAAGAAAGAAAGGAGGAAGGGGACCCCGCCTCCTACGTGCTCGCGGGGGGGGGCGGGGTCGGTGGACTGGGCGTGAGTTAATTGGCTGGGGGGCGGGGCACCACGGGTTGGCTCCGCCCAGGCGCTCGCGCGGATCCCGGGTGGAATGACGGGAGGGAGTCCCGGCAGCTCCTACCTCCCAGCGATGGCGTCGCTGTGCCGCGCCCAGTCCCCAGCCTGCCGGCCGGTACTCACCGCTACCCGGAGTTCGCTCAGACGGTGAGATTTGGGGCGGGTCCGAGGCAGCGGCGGGACGCTACCTGCGACCGGGACCATGAGGAGCTGCCAGACCCGTGGGGCCGGTAACGAGAGCAGTCGCGGCACCTGCTGAGAGGAAAGAGGGAGCGGTCCGGCGCGGCTGGGGCGCGGCAGAGGCTTGCCCGATCCTCGGCCATGTCACTGCTCTGCGTGCGCGGTGAGTGCGCGGACTGAGGCGGGGAGGCGGGGTGTCGGCGTAGAGGTCCCCGCACCCTTCCAGTGGACGTCCGGTGACCGTCTCACCCAAACTTTACATCCCGTCCGTGCTTTGGGGGTCTATTATTTTGGCAATCACTTAACAATCACTTGAGTTCTTTCCACTTTCTTGTTTTCCCCCAAGCTCCTGCAAGGGACGATTAGCTCTCCATTCTGGTAGCCATGTGACAATGTTGTTGGACTGCAGGCTCAGATCCTATTAAACAGTGACTGGGGTTCTCTAGTGAGAGTGGACGAGTTAGAAGACCGCGGATGGTTGGTGCCTGTGAATGGTGGGCAGCCTCTCATTCTTTTCCTCCTCCTCGCACCGTAACGCTACAGTATGCTTAGTAGCAGGTTCTTTTTATCACACTTTGAATGCGTTAGTGGTACAGCTGTCACATCCCTTCTATTGCTTGTCTTGTCCCCTGCCACTTCCCTGAACACTAACCGGTAGTATAGGCTAAGATTATTCTTCTGTTCCACTTGGGAGGATGTGGTGACTGCTTTTGAGGATAAGAGGTATGATTTATTTTTATTTTTATTTTAGCTTGCCTCACAGTAACTCAAGGTGAAGGGCCATTATTGCTTTTCCCCTGAGGACACTTGACCCATCTAAGAAGATATCTTAAAGCAAGAGCTTTGGGGTTTAAGATGAGGCATGGTACGCGAACTAAGTTCTATGTGGGTAGAGACTGTTTCTTATTAGTTTTTGTATTCCTGGTGTCTGACGTAGTAGAAGCTTAATGCTGGTTTTGAATGAATGCAAGTACTGTGACTTCAGAGAGATTATCTGATCAGGAAAACACAGGGTTTGGATTAGCCATTGAATTTGATCTCGGGAAATTCAGGTTACAGCCTATCATATCTGATGTGTCTTGATTATGAATGAGAGAGCATTTATCAACTAGAGCCTTTACCTGATATCTTTTACTGGAGAGTTCATATTTCTTTTGGCTCTACAGATTAGAAGCATTGTTGTTGTTTGTGATTTCTCCAATAACGATGTTTCCCCCAGCTACTGGCAGATGAAACTGCTTTGCTCTGTTCTCTTCCACTATTTTGTTGAATCTGCATTAACCAAAATGGATTTGGCCATTTCCCGGGATTATGAGATATACAGTTTTTCTTCTTTCATGGTTGATTTTTCATTAATGAGAATTTTGCTTTGCTTTTAGTAAGACATTTTCTCTCAGCAGCTGGGAATCTATTTATTCCTTTAGATCCCTGCTGCTGAGTAGCAGGATTTGGGAGAGGTTGGACTTTGCTGTGTCTCTTGGACAGTTTAATTCTCTACGGCCACACTGTATTACAGAGCTGGTCCTTATGAAAGACTCTTTAGGCAGGAGCACTCGTGAATCAGAAATTCCTATTTAACTGAATTTATATAACTACTGGTGTTTTCATTTGTTTTAATAGCAGGCAGGTTTCATTGTCTAGAAATTCTGCTATTTAGCTAACTTCTTTCCTTTTTAATGTTACTTTAGTGAAGTTTCTTCTTTTTTGAATCTGGAGAAACGAGATCAGCAGGCCATTGTCTTTTTGAATAGAGATCTAGAAGATTTTAAATACTGAAACAAACAGGTACCTTATATGCAGATATTCATATTGAATGGCAAAGTATTCATTTTGGGAAAACTTACAGAAATGAATTGAAATACATCTTTATTTTTATTTCTTTTTCTTTTTTTGAGACAGAGTCTCATTCTGTCACCCAGGCTGGAGTGCAGTGCTGCGATCTTGGCTCACTGCAACCTCCACCTCCTGGGTTCAAGTGATTCTCATGCCTCAGCCTCCCGAGCAGCTGGAATTACAGGAGTGAACCACCAGGCCCGGCTAATTTTTGTATTTTTTGTAGAGACAGAGTTTCACTGTGTTGGCTAGGCTGGTCTTGAACTTCTGACCTCAAGTGATCCATCTGCCTTGGCCTTCCAAAGTGCTGGGATTAGAGGCATAATCCACTGCACCCAGCACAAAATACATCTTTCTAAAATGACATTCCTTGCGTTGTATTTTGGCAGTAGGAATGTTGTATTCTGAAAGCAGTCTATATAGTGATATTTATTACAACTCAATTTCAATTCATCTTGGAGTAGAATCAATTAGAAACTTCCTATGCAGAGTTCAAAAAGTAGTTAACTTGATGTAGAAATTGGCAAACTGGTATTGAATTAATCATTCCTAAACATTTCATTCAAGAAGTCAGTTATTTTGTCTTGCCCTTTAATCATGCCTTATTGCCTGCAGGTTTAAGGCTCTCAATACTCTGACTCCAGACTTGTGGCCTTCTATTCTTGCCTATCCTTATGCAGACTTTGCTCTAGCACTAACTTTGTTTATTCCTGCCTCTGCTCTGTTCTGCACTTGTGCCCCCTGAAATACTCGTTCCATATTTTCTGCCTATCTAAAATGTATTCTTACTTTCCCAGCTAACAGTCTACTTTTTTTGTTGTTGAAAACTTCTTCAGGTCCCCAGTCCACAGTGATCTCTTTTTCCTTTAAATCCTCGGAGCACTTGTGGTCTGAACAGTGCCACTAGTTTGGAAATGAATCATATGCTGCCTGCAACTGGTCTTGTATTGTGGTGCTTATGGTGACCCAGACAAAGGAAGTAATTGCACTGGTCAGATCAGATCTGGAATTTTGTGTTCAGCTGTGGTATTTCCTTCTAAGAAGCATATTGAGAAGCTAGGTTATCTTAAGAGGGGAGTGATTAGAATAATGAAACATGTAGGAACCGAACCATTTGAAGAATATGGGAAATTTAGTTGTAGAAGATTTAAGAGGAAGAGGATCACGATAGTACATGAAGACTGTTTAAAAAACTGTCTTGTAGAAGTTATGTCACCTTTTTTGTTGTCATTCCAGAGGACAGAACTGGGACAAGTGTGGATCAGTGGTTGAAAATGACAGGAAATTAGATTTTAGCTTAACATAAAGAAGAACAGTTGGGTTGTTCAGAACAAATGGAATGGGCTATGTAGATTTTTTGACACTAAACAGAAATTGAATGAGTGGTAAGGATTCTAAAGGGGATATTGACCATTCAGCGGGTGATTGACTTGAATTTTTTTTTTTTTTTTTTTTTAATTTTTTGAGATGGAGTCTCTGTTGCCCAGGCTGGAGTGCAGTGGCATGATCTCAGCTCACTGCAACTTCTGCCTCCCAGGTTCAAGCGATTCTCCTGCCTTAGCCTCTGGGGTAGCTGGGATTACAGGCGCCTGCCACCATGCCTGGCTAATTTTTTGTATTTTTAGTAGAGACGGGGTTTCACCATGTTGGCCAGGCTGGTCTCAAACTCCTGACCTCGTGATCTGCCCACCTCGGCCTCCCAAAGTGCTGGGATTACAGGCGTGAGCCACTGCGCCCGGCCTAGACTTGAATTTTTAAGAAACCACTCTTTTATAGAATTCACTTAGTCTTTCTTTAAATATTTCCATAAGTATAAAGAAATATAAGTCTTTAACATGTTTTGGCACAGCTTTACTTATAATACGGATACTTTTTTTGGGCTTCCATAGGGACCAGTGCCACATGAACAACTGCAGTAAACTAAATTAAGGATTTTGTTTGACTTTTATTGTCTTGGTATTCACGACCAAGTTTCTCCAAGCAATTATAAGCATTTTTAGAATCAGACCTTTCCATAATATTTCTCTGTAATTCCCAGTGTTTATAACATAGTTATTCCCAGTGTTTATAACATAGTTAGATAATTTAACTATGGATTTTTTTCCCCCAAAAGTAATAAATGCAGGCCAGTCGTGGTGGCTCTTGCCTGTAATCCCAGCACTTTGGAAGGCTGAGACAGGTGGATCACTTGAGGACATGAGTTTGAGACCAGCCTGGCCAACGTGGTGAAACCCCATCTCTACTAAAAATACAAAAATTAGCCAGGTGTGGTGGTGCTCACCTGTAATCCTAGCTACTTGGGAGGCTGAGGCATGAGAATTGCTTGAACCCAGGAGGCAAGGTTGCAGTGAGCCAAGATCATGCCACTGTACTCCAGCTTGGGTGACGAAGTGAGACCCTGTCTCAAAAAAAATATGTGTATGGTAATACATTGCTAATTATAGAAAATTTAAAAAATGCAGAAAAGTACAAAAAAAGAAAAAAATTTCCATGGGCCTACCACCTGCCAATACCATTGCTAACTTTTTTTTTAAATTTAATTTTTTTTTTAAAGATGGGATCTCACTATGTTGCCTAGGCTGGATTTGAACTCCTGGGCTCAAGTGACTGTCTTTTCTCAGCATCACGAGTAGCTGGGACTACAAGGAACACACCACCACACCCAACTATTGTTAACTTTTTAATTCATTGTTTTCATTTTGTTTTTATTATAAGGTGATAAATATACAGATAAGAAGTTGAAACAGTTTAGAGTGTAAAGTAGAAGGAAAAGTTCTCTTGTCCCCATTCGGTATTCTTACTTCCCAGAGGTAACTACTGTTTACTGTCTCTTACCTATCCTTCTGGAAATTTTCATTGCAGATGAGTATATAGGTTCTGCAGTTGAATGTACATAGCATTCTTCAGCTTTTTTTGTTTTTTAACCTCAATGATCTATTTTCCTGTCAGGTCATCTGAGTCTAAACCAAGCTTGTCCAGCCTGTGGCATGTGAGCTGCATGTGGCCCAAGACGGCTTTGAATGTGGCCCAACACAAATTTGTAAACTTTCTTAAAACATTATGAGATTTGTCAGCTATCATTAGTGTTAGTGTATTTTTTTTATTTTATTTTTATTTTTTGAGACAGTCTCGCTGTGTCGCCCAGGCTGGAGTGCAGTGGCGCGATCTCAGCTCACTGCAACCCCTGCCTCCTGGGTTCAAGCGATTCTCCTGTCAGCCTCCCAAGTAGCTGGGATTACAGGCGCCCATCACCACGCCTGGCTAATTTTTTGTATTTTTAGTAGAGACAGGGTTTCACCTTGTTAGCCAGGATGGTCTCGATCACCTTACTTCATGATCCGCCTGCCTTGGCCTTGCAAAGTGCTGAGATTACAGGCATGAGCGCCTGGCCAGTGTTAATGTATTTTATGCATGGCCCGAGATAATTCTTCTTCCACTGTGGCCCAGGGTAGCCAAAAGGTTGGACACCCTGGTCTATACCATTCTTTTGAATGGCTGCAGAGTATTCTGTTATATAAGCATACATAATTTAAACAGTTTTATATTGATGATATTCAGGATATTTTTCTTTTCACTATTACAAACAGTGCTACAATGAACATCTTTGTAGGTTTTTTTTTTTTTTTTTTTGAGATGGAGTCTCACACTGTTGCTCAGGCTGGAGTGCAGTGGCGCCCTCTCTGCTCACTGCAACCTCTGCCTCCTGGGTTCAAGCAATTATCCTGCCTCAGCCTCTTGAGTAGCTGGGATTACAGGTGCCTGCCACCATGCCTGGCTAATTTTTTTTTTTTTTTTTTTTTGTATTTTTAGTAGAGAAGGGGGTTTCACTATGTTGGCCAGGCTGGTGTTGAACTCCTGACCTTGTGATCTGCCCTCCTCGGCCCCCCAGAGTGCTGGGATTACAGGCGTGAGCCACCACGTCCAGCCTGTAGATGGTTTTTAAACATTTGTTTTTATTTTTGAGACAGGGTCTTGCATTGTCACCCAGGCTGGAGTGCAGTAGTACGATCGTGGCTCACTGCATCCTCAAACTCCTGGGCTCAATCTGTCCTCCCATCTCAGTCTCCTGAGTAGCTGGGACTACAAGTGCATGCCACCATGCCTGACTAATTTTTCTACTTTTTGTAGGATGGAATTGCCCTATTTTGCCCAGGCTGGTCTTGAACTTCTGGACTCAAGTGATCTGCCCACCTTGGCCTCCCAAAATGCTAGGATTACAGGTGTGAGCCACTGCACCTGACCAGTTTTTTTATTATTAATTTTTTTCTTTCCAACTTTTAAGTTCAAGGGGTACATATGCAGGTTTGTTACATGGGTAAATTGCATATTGCCATATTGCAGGGGTTTCATATACAGATAATTTTGTCACCCAGGTAATCAGCATAATACCCAAATAGGTAGTTTTCAGTCCTTACCCTCCTCCCACTCCATAGATGGTTTTTGTTATATGTTTGGAGATCTCCAATTAGCTTTCCACCTGGACTTTATGTGTAATTTTCTCATTGCTGTTTTCTTTGGCATATAATTATACTCAGTTGGACCAAATGCCTCGGTGTCTCAGATCAACATCCTCAATTAGAGGCAGATCCTTCAGCAGCAGGTAATATTTTTCTATGCCTGTTGAAAAGACCAAAGACTCTGCTCTTGTAAGTAAGTTTGACCTGTGATTTCCATGTACTTTTCTTTCTTATTTGTATTTTATTTTCCATATGAACATGTATTACTTGCTTTTTTTTTTTTTTTTGATACAGGGTCTCACTCTGTTGCCCAGGCTGGGGTGCAGTGGCATGATCACGGCTCACTGCAGTCTTGACCTCCCTGGGCTCAGGTGATGCTCTCACCTTAGACTCCTGAGTAGCTGGAACTACAGGCTTTCTTGTAGAGACAGGGTTTTGCTATGTTTCCCAGGGTGGTCTTGAACTCCTGGGCTCAAGCAATCTGCCTGTCTCAGTCTCCTAAAGTGTTGGGATTAACAGGTGTGAGCCACTGTGCCCGACTGCATTTTTAAAACAGAACAAAACAATGTCACTGGTGAATGGTAACAGGACCAAGTTGATTTATATTATGATTTGCCCTTTAAAAAACTCGTTACTGGACAGGTGAGGTGGCTCATGCCTGTAATCCCAGTACTTTGGGAGGCTGAGGCAAGAGAATCACTTGCATCCAGGAGTTTGAGACCAGCCTGGGCAACATAGCAAGACCCCATTCCTACTAAAAAAATATTTAAAAATTAGCTGTGCGTGTTGACGCATGCCGGTAGTCTCAGCTACTTGGGAGGCGAGGCAGGAGGATGGCTTGAGTCCAAGAGATTGAGGGTGTAGTGAGCCATGTTCATGCCACTGCATTCTAGCCTGGGTAACAGAGCCATCTCAAAAAGTTCATGGCTTATCATTAATCATCCATCTAACTAGACACGTTGATTGTGCATTGATTCTACTCTAGGGAAAGTCCAAAAATATATTTCGGTTTACAGCCATTGTGGAAAGTAGGAATGGTAATGATATTAGAGTTTTCAGACATAGGTATAGGTTGGTCAGATACTTCTCATCTCCTTCCCCCATCCTGCCACCCCCTGCTGAATGTTATTGTCATCTGCCTCAGCTAACTCCTTTTTGCTGGGCTTCCATCGATCGTGGTTCTAGTAGTCCCTGCCCTTAGAGCAGAGCTGTGGCTGTGTTCCTTTCACTTAGGGCCTCAGGAAGTTGATTGTGCTTTGTGTGAGCCAGGCAGTGATGGGGGAAAGGACCAATTTGCTCTGCTATGCTATTGTTATAAACTGTTCTGTTCCTTATAAGTAGCGTATTCTGTAATTTAGTTTCTAAAAATGGGGTTTCTGAAAGTTGGGCTCTTTAGGCCAATAAGCTTAATTTTTATCCTATTTACCTGTGCTGTGTATTTCAGACTTTGAGTTTGTTTAAAGTTTGGGCTGTGTATCATTAGTAAATATTTGTTGGATACTTTCTCTGTGCATGTTTATGACACAAATCTGTATTGTAGATAAGAGGCCACGGAATCTAGATAGGTTTTAAAATGTCTGTTATACAGTGTTCTTATATAAACTCAAATAATCCATTAGGATTATTAGGTCTGATTTGGAATAAGCAGAATAAATTAAGTTCTTCCTTGAGTAGGGAAATAACTGCACTGTCTTGTTTTAACATTTATTTTCACATTGTTATTATTACTGTTTTTTTTTTGTTTTGTTTTTGAGATGGAGTCTCGTTCTGTTGCCCAGGTTGGAGTGCAGTGGTGCAATCTCAGCTTACTGCAACCTCTGCCTCCCAGGTTCAAGCGATTCTCCTGACTCAGTCTCCTGAGTAGCTGGGACTACAGGTGTCCACCACCACGCCTAGCTAATTTTTGTATTTTTAGTAGAGATGGGGTTTCACCATGTTGGCCAGGCTGGTCTCTAACTCCTGACCTCAAGTGATCTGCCCACTGCGGCCTCCCAAAGTGTTGGGATTACAGATGTGAGCCACCACGCCCAGCCTTATTTTATGATTAGTTTTTTGAGACTGGATCTTGCTCTGTTGCCCAGGCTGGAGTGCAATGGTGCGAACATGGCTCTCTGCAGCCTCGACCTCCTGGGATCAAGTGATATGCTCATTTCAGCCTTCTGAGTACCTGGGACTACAGGTGTGAACTACCATGCTTGGCTAATTAAAAAAAAATTTTTTTTAGAGATGGGGTCTTGCTATGTTGCCCAGGCTGGTCTTGAACTCTTGGGCTCAAGCAATCCTTCTGCCTCAGCCTCCTAAAATGCTGGGATTATAGTCATGAGCCACTGTGCATTTAAAGCAAGAGTCTTTGAGTTTGGGGGTATTTTATATATACCTTCTCTTTTTTTTTGAGACAGGTTCTTATTCTGTTGCTTAGGCTAGAGTGCCATGGTGCTAATCAGGGCTCACTGCAGCCTCAATCTTGCCAAGCTCAGGTGATTCTTCCACCTCAGCCTCCTGAGTAGCTGGGACTGTATGCTTGTGCAACCATACATGGCTAATTTTTGTATTTTTTGTAGAGACAGGGTTTTGTCACTTTACCCAGGCTAATCTTCAACCTGTGGAGTCAAGTGGTCTGCCCGCCTCAGCCTCCCAAAGTGCTGGGATTACAGGCATGAACCACTGTGCCTGGCTCCTTTTTTTTTGAGATGGAGTCTCATTCTTTTACCCCGGCTGGAATGCAGTGGCTCAATCTTGGCCCACTGTAACCTCCATCTCCCAGGTTCAAGAGATTCTCCTGCCTCAGCCTCCCAAGTAGGTGGGACTACAGGTGCCCGCCACCACGCCCAGCTAATTTTTGTATTTTCAGTAGAGACAGGGTTTCACCATGTTGGCCAGGCTGGTCTCAAACTCCTGACCTCAGGTGACCCACCCGCCTTGGCCTCCCAAAGTGTTGGGATTACAGGTGTGAGCCACCATGCCTGGTCTCAAGTATAGTTTTTTAAAGAAAGAAGTCTCACTCTGTTGCCCAGACTGGAGTGCAGTGATGTGATCATAGCTCACTGTAGCCTCAAACTCCTGGGCTCAAGAGATCCTCCCGTCTCCGTCTCCTAAGTAGTTGGGACTACAAGCATGTGCCACCACACCTGGCTAATTTTTGAAAATTTTTTTGTAGAGATGGGTCTCCCTATGTTGCCCAGGCTGGTGTCGAACTCCTGGCTTCAAGCAGTCCTTCTCTCTGGGACTCCCAAAGTTCTGAGGTGACATGCATGAGCCACTGTTCCCTACCCCAGGCTAGTTTATTTTGATTAACATGTTTGTCAGATTCTTCCACTTGATGTGTGTGGCAGTTAGTTCATTGATTTTCGTTGCTATGTAGTATCTTGTTAGATGCATATACTGTTGTTTATTTATTTAATGTATTTCTTAATCTCATGACAGTGTAGATTAGATTATGTGGGGAGAAATTGGAGGCACTTGAATTATAGCAGGAGTGATTTAGATTAAACATAAATTAAAATTTCTTGATGAAATTTGAACTGCCACAGAAAAGCTGTGAAATTTATTTTTCTATGGCTCTTCAAAAATAAGCCCTATTTCCTTCATTTAAAATTTTATTTATTAATTTTTTTTTGTAGAGATGGGGTCTCACTATGCTGTCCAGGCAGGTCTCAGGTCTCAAACTCCTGGGCTCAAGGCCTCCTCCTGCCTCCGCCTCCCAAAGTGCTGAGATTACAGGTGTGAGCTACCATGCCTGGCCCCTTTGTTTTTTTTTTTTAAATTGATATGTCATAGATGTATGTGTTTTGGGGATATGTGTCATATTTAGATAAATTCATATAATGTGTTAATGATCAATTCAGGGCAATTAGGATATCTGTCACCTCAAACATCTTTCATACTGGGAACACTGGAATTCTCTTCTGGCTATTTGGAAATCTACAATAGATTTTCATTAACTGTAATCATCTTACTGAACTATCGAATACTAGATCTTATTCCATTTATCCAACTGTATTTTTGTACTCTTTAATCAACCTTTCTTAATCCTCCCTCTCCTGTTTCCTTTCATATACTATATTAGGTGTAACTGCTCTGGATGAGGAAGGTTAGATAACCAGCTTTGCATTTCCTGTTTTGTTGCAGTCTTTTCTTTGATTACTGGGAAATGGAATAAAAATGTAAGCATATGGTTAAAATGTTGTGTTCACCTTTATAAAGTACATTAAAAAATTCTTTTGTTATCTTTAGTAAAAATGAAATGTACTTTCTCAAGTGTGATGTCCAGAAATAATTATCCACTGGGTGTGTGAGAAAGGCCAATAGAATCAAAGGAAAAAGAATCATGAAATCTTTTTTTTTTGTGCTGATGAATCCTTTGGTGATAAAATATGTGGTAAAAATGTGACAGGAGGAAGTTTGTGCTAAGGTGTAAGGTCTATTTTTATCCTGTAAGTAGGGAGAAGCAATTCTTAGTCATTAGGAAATATAGGTTTCCAAAAAGAAGAGTGTTGTTTTCCTGCTGCTGCTTGGTTCTCTCTTTTGCTATAGTAAGTGCTTCTTTAGAGCTGTAGAAGACAGGCCTGTGGATTGTGTTGGGCTGTCAATTTTCTCTTGCAACTGTTTGCTTTATTGATTTCTATAGCGTTTCATTGTAAATGATGTTGAGAAGAGGTTAGAGGGCAGGGAGGGAGATCTGCCTAGCAACCAATAAGGGGCTGGCAGTTGGACAGTGGGAAGATAATTGCTTTTATATAATTAGAGTTGGGGCAAAGATGATTCGAAAGGCTAGATTACTTACATGAGCCAAATTAGTTATGAAGCAAATTTTAGAGACTTTGTCTGCAAAAGGATAGAGGAAATCTGCTTGCCAAGGAAAGGGGGGTAAATGATAGATATAAACCTGTATGTCTACCTCACTTCAGCCCTCCATTCCCACAATTACACCAGAGAGCATGTCACTCTTTGGAATGGTGCTCTCCTTTTGTAATCTTAATCTTCATAATCTATCTTTTTTTTTTTTTTTGGGGACAGAGTCTCACTTTGTAGCTCAGGCTGGAGTGCGGTGGTGCTATCTCGGCTCACTGAAACCTCCACCTCCCTGGTTCAAGCGATTCTTGTGCCTCAGCCTCGCGAGTAGTTGGGATTACAGGCCCTCACCACCATGCCCGGCTAATTTTTTTATTTTTGGTAGAGATGGGGTTTCACCGTGTTGCCCAGGCTGGTCTCAAACTCTTGAGCTCATGTAATCCGCCCGCCTCAGCCTCCCAAAGTGTTAGGATTACAGGCGTGAGCCACTGTGCCTGGCCAGAATCTATCTGATTGTATTCTTTAGCCCATTTTTACAGCTTATACTCTTGCTATGCTTTAACCACTGTGATATAAGGTAGATGTTAAAAGCTTTGGTTTTAGACAGACATGGCTTGGTGAATATATCAGCTCCAACGCTGTGAGTTGTCTGCCTTTCCATATGTTACCTCATCTCATTAAACCTTAATTTCCACATCTTTAAAATTCATATATTTGTTAGGGTAGTAGTACCAGTGATGGTGAAAATACCTATAGCAAAGTATTGCTGACATAATTGTTGTGAAAGTGATTAGTACTGTCCCAGGCATAGAATGAGTACTTATTTTAATATAAAAACAGTATTAATATTCTTCATCCAGCTTTATGATATCTATTCATCTAAGACAGGGAGCTGAAAGTCTTCCTAGACCTCTCTCTCTCTCTCTTTTTTTGAGACAGAATCTCACCTTTTTTGAGATAGTCTCACTCTGTTTCCCAGGCTGGAGTGCAGTGATTTGATCCCAGCTCACTGCAGCCTCAACTTCCAGGGCTCAGGTGATTCTCCTACCTTAGCCTCCTGAGTAGCTGGAACTACAGGTGTGTGCCACCACACCCAGCTAATTTTTTTTTTTTTTGTCGGGGGGCAGGGTCTCCCTCTGTCCTCCAGGCTGTAGTGCAGAGTGCGATCTCGGCTCACTGCAACCTCTGCCTCCTGGGTTCAAGCGATTCTCTTGCCTCAGACTCCCAAGTAACTGGGACTACAGGTGTGCGCCACCATGCTTGGCTAATTTCTTGTATTTTTAGTAGAGATGGGGTTTTGCCGTGCTGGCCAGGCTAGTCTTGAACTCCTTTTTTTTTTTTTGAGACAGAGTCTCACTCTGTTGCCCAGGCTGGAGTGCAGTGGCACGATCTTGGCTCACTGCAAGCTCTGCGTCCCGGGTTCACGCCATTCTTCTGCCTCAGCCTCCCGAGTAGCTGGGACTACAGGCGCCCGCCACCACGCCTGGCTAATTTTTTTTGTACTTTTAGTAGAGACGGGGTTCCACTGTGTTAGCCAGGATAGTCTCAATCTCCTGGTTCCACCGTGTTAGCCAGGATAGTCTCAATCTCCTGACCTCGTGATCTGCCTGCCTCAGCCTCCCAAAGTGCTGGGATTACAGGCATGAGCCACCGCGCCCGGCCACGTCTTGAACTCCTGACCTTAGGTGATCCACACGCCTCAGCCTCCCAAAGTGCTGGGATTACAGGCATGAGCCACCGTGCCCTGCCATTTGTGTAGAGACAAGGTTTTGCCATGTGGCTGAGGCTTGTCTCGAACTCCTGGGACTCAAGTGATCTGTCTGCTTCAGCCTCCCAAAGTGCTGGGATTACAGGCGTGAGCCCCTGTGTCCAGCCTAGACTTCTCAGTTGAGGAAGAAAATACAAAGAGAGGGAGGAAAGTTGGGTTCCGTTGAGTTTGTGGGATCTGTGAGATAAGTTACATGTGAGATATATTGAATTGAATGTATCAGTCTCATTGCAGATGATCCTTGAAAATGGTAACCCAAATGTAGGTTTGTAGCTTAGTAGAGAAATCTGTTAGAGATAAATATATGGAAGTTGCAGGTATTTGGTAATAAAGACATTAGCTTGAATTAAAATACTTATGGAGGGTCAGAAAGGAGAAAAAGGGGCTGATGCTGCCGCCAAGGAACTCCAGTGTATAGGAATGGGCAGAAGAGGAGTTGATAGATGTGGTCAGAACTGTAGGAAAATGGAGAGTGTTGTGTTAGGGTCTGTAGCCTAGAGTACAGCGAGTTTCAAGAAGGAATGATCAGATGATAGAGGTGAAGGAGACTTGTTGAGGTTTAGGAAAAAATGAAGAGATCATTGGATTTGAAAACAAGGACAGTTTCATTTGGGTAATGTGAGGGCAGGCAGTGTATTATAGTAGCTGATGAGTATTTGGGCAGTAAAGAAGTGGAATGAGCAAGTGTAGGCTACACATTCAGAAGTTCTGCAGTGAAGAGTAGGGTTAAGAGTAGTCTTAAAGGCCAGGCGTGGTGGCTCACGCCTGTAATCCCAGCACTTTGGGAGGCCAAGGTGGGTGGATCACTTGAGGTCAGGAGTTCGAGACCAGTCTGGCCAACATGGTGAAACCCCGTCTCTACTAAAAATATATAAAAAAAAAAAATTAGCCAGACATTGTGCTGCATGCCTATAATCCCACTTATTTGGGAGGCCAAGGCAGGAGAAATGCTTGAACCCAGAAAGCAGAGGTTGCGGTGAGCTGAGATCACACCATTGCACTCCAGCCTGGTTGACAAAGTAAGACTCTGTCTCAAAAAAAAAAAAAAAAAAAAGAGTAGTCTTAAGAAGAAATTTGAGTATTTTGTAGCTTGAAGGGAAGGAATCTGTAAGAAGGGGAAAGTCAAGATGAGATGGGGAAGGGAGAGATGATAACTGATTTCTTTTGTAAAGTAGGATGCAAAATTATCAGCTGATAGTGAGGTGGTGGGGATGATTTAGAGAGCTTGAGGAGAGTGCAAAGGGTTCATTCATTTATTCTTTCAACAACTATTGGGCCGGGTGTGGTGGCTCATGTCTATAATCCCAGCATTTTGGGAGGCTGAGGCGGGTAGATCACTTGAGATCAGGAGTTTGAGACCAGCCTGGCCAACATGACAAAACCCCGTCTCTACTAAAAATAAAAAAATTAGCTGGGCGTGGTGGCAGGCGCCTGTAATCCCAGCTACTCGGGACTCTGAGGCATGAGAATCGCTTGAACCCAGGAGGCAGAGATTGCAGTGAGCTGAAATCGCACCACTGCACTCCAGCCTGGGAGACAGAGCAAGAGTTTGTCTCAAACAAACAAACCAACAAACAAAAACAAAAAAACCCCACAACTGTTGTGCTAGGCACTTGGGGAGGAATGGTGAGGAAAAAACCCCTTTCCTTCTTGGAAGTTTATATAGACTAGTAGGACTACGGAGGAGTTAGACATTAAACAAGGAAGAATCATACAAATTAATATAAAATTACGAGTAGGAAAAAATACAACTGATTTGTGCTATAAACGAGAGTACATGTTATTATAAGAACATGTGTTAAGGAAAGTTACCTACACAGATCAGAGAAGTCCTCCCTAATGAAGTGAAGACTGAACTGAGATCTAGAAGAAGAGGACACTATCGAGAGAAGGAGAAGAATATTCTAGGCAGAGGAAATAGTATGTGCAAAGGCCTTGCAGTGGGAGAAGGATCTGAGAGAAGGCAAGTATAGCCAATATTCCAAGAGAAAGGGAAAATATGGATTAAGATGAAGCTGGGGCTCCTGACCTCAGGTGATCCACCCGCCTCGGCCTCCCAAAGTGCTAGGATTACAGGCATGAGCCACAGCGCAGCCTGGCCAACATGACGAAACCCCATCTCTATTTAAAAAAAATTAAAAAAAAATTAGTCGGGCGTGGTGGCCGGTGCCTATAATCCCAGCTACTCAGGATCCTGCTGAGACAGGAGAATCTCTTCAACCCAGGGGCGGAGATTTCAGTGAGCCAAGAGTGCGCCATCTCACTCCAGCCTGGGTGAAAGAGCGAAACTCCATCTCAGAGAAACAAAAAACAAAACTATAGGGCCTTGTAGGCAACATAAGGTGGAAAGTTAGCGGGAATAAGACCGAGGAAGGGGCAGAAGTATAGAAGTTTATAAACTGAAAGCACTGGGTTTCTACTTTGATTTGTTTGAATCCTTTTTCTACCAGTGAAAGCTTTTGGCAAGCCTCTTGACTACCAAGCCACAATTTTAAAATGGAAGTGTTAACATCTGCCCCATGTACCTTCATAAAGTTGATGAGAATTACACTCTTAAGATCATGTGTTTGAAATTCTATTGTATAGTAACTTTTACTCTCAGTCCTTTTTATATCTTGTTTGTAGAGACTTAACTGTTTTGAAACTTATAAACAAACAGGATATGATCAGTTCCATAAACATTTATTGAGCACTTAACTATGGGTGAGGCATTGAACTTGTCACCCTGGGTATATAAAAATGAGGAAGAAGTGGGCCTTGCCCTCAAGAAATTGAGGGCAAAGAAAGGGTGACAGCCATGTGTACAGCTAAGCATGATGCAAGACACAAATGGATAATTTCTAAAACAGAAAAAATATAATGGATTGTAGAAATTCCAACTGAGGGACAGGGAAGAATTGTAGAAAAAGTCAAGTTTTCCATTATGGTGTCACTCATTAATTGGGATACGAAGCATAGAAAGAAAGAATAACAACTTCTGGGGAGATGATTTGGGTGTTGGATATGTTGAATTTGAAGAGTTGGCAGTCCACGTGTTAAGGTTGGAAATGTTACTCAGGAGATCAGGGTTAGAGTAGATTTGGTCTGTTCTTTGTGGATCTGTTGTGTGGAGGCACGGTGACAGGGTAAACATATACTCAGCATCATCATTATAATATACTCCATTTCATCCACTATAAGATGCCATAGATTGTAAGAGGCATCATTATTTTATGTATTATTTGAAAAATACTATTGCTGGGCACAGTGGCTCATGCCTGTAATCTCAGCATTATTGGGAGGCCAAGACGGGTAGATCACTTGAGTCCAGGGGTTCAAGACTAGTCTGGGCAACATGGCAAAACCCCATCTCTACAAAAATTAGGCATGGTGGCACATGCCTGTAGTCCCTAATACTTGGGAGGCTGAGGTGGGAGGATTGCTTAAACCCAGGAGGCGGAGGTTGCAGTGAGCTGAGATCCGCCACTGCACTCCAGTCTGGAGGACAGAGTGAGACCCTGTTTCAAAAAAAAAAAGAACAAACAAAAAAACACATACACACACACATACAATTGATTGCTCTATGACATGTCATTGATTGTAAGATTCATTTCAATTTCAGAGTGGTTACATATGAGAAAATAGGCCAGTGGCTCACACATGTAATCCCAGCACTTTGGGAGGCCGAGGCGGGTGGATCACTTGAGGTTAGGAGTTTGAGACCAGCGTGGCCAACATGGTGAAACCCCGTCTCTGCTAAAAATACTAAAATTAACTGGGTGTGGTGCACGCCTGGATTCCCAACTACTCTGGAGGCTGAGGCAGAAGAATTGCTTGACCTTGGGAGGCGGAGGTTGCAGTGAGCTGAGATCGCACCACTGCACTCCAGACTGGGTGACAGAGTGAGACAGCCTCAAAAAAAAAAAAAAAAAAAAAAAAGACAATGTCTCACCATCTTAGAATCAATGAAATACTGAAGCTAACATTTAATGAGTCTTTACTCTTTGCCAATAAGTAGGTAAGGGTTAATCATTTAATTCTTGTAATAACCTTGTTATCCTCATTTTACAAATGAGGGCACTGGCCTACTGAAGTTTGTCCTTTTCCATACTGAAAAGCTGAATTTACTTTTTTTGCTTTACTCTTAACTATACAATACAATACCAAATTAATTATACAGGGTAGTGCTTTGGAACATGAATAAAATCTATTTTTAATAAAAGTATTTAGGGAAAGATGGCTGTTATGCATTGTTGGCTGTGAATCAGAGTCTCACTATAGCTGTGGTTTCTGTTTGCTTAGGATATATTCGTGGACAGCATTATAGCAGGTGTTTCATAGACTGGAGAGTTCATTATGGCTCTAGTTTAATATTTTCATAAAAAATAAAAGGAGTTTAATAAAATCCCTTTTTTTCTTGGGAGGGAGTGTGGTATAATGGAAAATTTGGGATTCTAGAGAACTCTTGAATCTCGCTAGGTAGTGACTAAAACTGTATCTATAAGTAAGTTTCTTAACTTCACTAAGAATCATCTTCTGGCCAGGTGCAGTGGCTCGCTCCTGTAATCCCAGCACTTTGGAAGGCTGAGGCATGTGCATAGCTTGAGCACAGGATTTTGAGACCAGCCTGGGCAACGTGACAAAACCCTATCTCTACAAAAAATATAAAAATTAGCTGGGTGTGGTGGTGCATGCCTGCAGTCCCAGCTTTTTGGAAGGCTGAGGTGGGAGGATCACTTGAGCCTGGGAGATTGAGGCTGCAGTGAGCCATGATCACACCACTGTGCCCTAGCCCAGCCTGGGTGACAGAGTAAGACTCTGTTTCAAAAAAGACAAAAAAATAGAGAGAGATGATACTTTAGTGGTTTTAGTTTTAGGTAAAGTTAAAGCATTAAGTTCAGTTAATTGGGTAACATCCTAATTTTTCTTTACAGTTCACTTTAGACTGTAAGAGTCAGTTGCCTAATGTAGGAATTAGGTAGATGGATGGCTAGAATGACCTTGTCCTGTGTGTGTATAATCAAACTTGGGTTATTTCTGATAAACAGTAACCATAGAAATCTGATTGTGTATTAATGTAAACTCTATTCCAACTGAGGTTTATTTATTTAGAAAACATTTAGAAAGATACACTTGAACACTTGTACATGCTCAATTATAACCTTAACTGTGTTTACTTTATAATTAGTCATTGGTTTTGTTAGTTGAGGTTTGACGTAAGTACTTGTTTGTCTTTTGGTTTGAGAGAGACCTTATAGAGAGTAAATTTTATTGATTTTTGGAGAAATTAATTTTTTTTTCAAGGACAGGGTAGCATATTTATATATATTTCATCTGTATTCTTTTTAAGTTGTGATAAGTCGCTATGAAGTAAAGTGGAAGCCTAGCAGTGATATCTAAGACTTTTGAGAAATGTTTGTGAATGAATGAAACTAAAGATATATGGCTGCTTTGCAAGTTTAGTTTTGCTTATTATTCTATCCATACCATCAGATTTTAATACAATTTATTCTTTTTTTTTTACTTGCTTCATGTGAGCATAAATTGGAGCATTAGCTATTTCAGTCGGTGTGAATTTGGTATCAGTACTGCAGGGAGAGGGCTGTGGACTTCAAAAATTATGGGCTTTTGAATCTGTTTCAATTTTATACTGCATTGTTTAATTAAGTCAGACTTGGGGTACTTAGCCTTTCTGAGTTTTAATCTGTAAATTGTAAATTACATACTCTACAACAGTGTTTTTTAAAATTGTAGCAGTGTTTGTTTTTGTTTTTGCTTTTGTTCATTAGTTCTGAAATCAATTAAGTGGGTGACCAGCGTTAGGGGAAAAAGATACAGAGTTTTGGCCAGGCAGAGTGGTTTACGCCTGTAATCCCAGCACTCTGGGAAGCCAAGGTGGGATTGCTTGAACCCAGGAGTTCCAGACCAGCCTAGTAAACACAGTGAGACCCTGTCTTTAAAAAAAAAAAAAAAATGCTGGATCTGTTTCAGCAGGTACCTGTAGTCCCAGGTACTCAGGAGGCTGACTGAGATGGGAGGATCACTTGAGCCTGGGAAGTGAAGGCTACACTGAGGCTTGATCACACCTCTGCACTCCAGCCTGGGCAACAGAATGAGACGCTGTTTCAAAAAACAAACAAAAAAACAAAAACAAAACAATGGCATTTCTTTCCATATTAGTGTCCTGAGTTTTTCTCTTTTATTTTCATTCAAAAAATTTTCTCTAGTGCCTTGATAGGGACCCTTATTTTTCTTATTTCACAGATGTAACTAATTTTAAAATCCTTTATCTTTGTTTTTCTATGTTTCATGATTTTAAGCAAGTCTCTTAGAGCAAGTTGTTGGATTCTGTTTTCTAAAAAAAATTCACTGAATGTCTTTTGGTATTGCTGTGTCTCAGTGATCTAGAAGCTGTGTTTTATTGACATATAGTAACTGAGATATGACCTGAAATTTATTTAATCTATTTCTCATGTTTCTCACCTATAAAATGGAGATAATATTAGTACCTATACGGTACTAATTATAGGCATGAGCCACCATTCCTGGCCTGGACAACTTTTTATATCAATGAAGATCGATCTGGCCAGGTGCGGTGGCTCATGCCTGTAATACCGGCACTTTGGGAGGCCGGAGTGGGTGGACCACTCGAGGTCAGGAGTTTGAGACCAGCCTGGCCAACATGGTGAAACCCTGTCTTTACTAAAAATATAAAAATTAGCCTGGCATGGTGGTGCGGGCCTGTAGTTCCAGCTACTCGGGAGGCTGAGGCAGTAGAATTGCTTGAACCCAGGAGGTGGAGGTTGCAGTGAGGCCAGATCAGCCACTGCACTTCAGCGTGGGTGACAGAGACTCTGTCTCAAAAAAACAAATAAATAAATACATAAAAAATAAAAATTAAGATAGATCTGCCCACCAAACTATCCTTGAAAAACCCTAAATTCTGAGTCTTTGGAGAGATTGATTTGAGTAATAACTCCATCTCCTGTGTGGATGGCTGGACCTGCATCAGTTAAACTCTTTACTGCAGTGCCATGGTCTTGGTGAACTGGTTTTGTTTGTGCAGTGGGCAGGAAGAAGCTGTGGAGTGATTATAGGATTACCAGCCCTACTGGACTTTATTTTTGAATACTACTTCTTTTACATTTGTTCCTATATCATCTTCAGTAACTCCAATATCTGTGTGTTAGAGCTCTTTATATCTTCCTACTTCTCACCTTTAAAAATTATAAAACCATCAGTTTTCTTGAAAGTTGACTCCTCTATTGCTGCTTCTAGTGCATTTTTATACTTTTTCTCATGTTTAACTTAATATTCTTTCTCATTGAGCTTCCTTTTGATTTTTATCTGCCTCTCAGCAGTCTTCCTCAGTCTTCTGCTTTTCATCTTTTGCTTCTGTGACCCCCCCTTTTTAAAATTTAGAAACTGTGAAACCAATGCTGATTAAAATTTATTTTTTTAACACAAAATTTTATTTTATTTTATTTTTATTTATTTTTATTTTTATTTTTTTTAGTATTTATTGATCATTCTTGGGTGTTTCTCAGAGAGGGGGATGTGGCAGGGTCATAGGGTAATAGTGGAGAGAAGGTCAGCAGATAAACACGTGAACAAAGGTCTCTGGTTTTCCTAGGCAGAGGTCCCTGTGGCCTTCTGTAGTGTTTGTGTCCCTGGGTACTTGAGATTAGGGAGTGGTGATGACTCTTAACGAGCATGCTGCCTTCAAGCATCTGTTTAACAAAGCACATCTTGCACCGCCCTTAATCCATTTAACTCTGAGTTGACACAGCACATGTTTCAGAGAGCACTGGGTTGGGGGTAAGGTTATAGATTAACAGCATCCCAAGGCAGAATAATTTTTCTTAGTACAGAACAAAATGGAGTCTCCTATGTCTACTTCTTTCTACACAGACACAGTAACAATCTGATCTCTCTTTCTTTTCCCCACATTTCCCCCTTTTCTTTTCGACAAAACCGCCATCGTCATCATGGCCCGTTCTTGATGGTCGCTGTCTCTTCAGAGCTGTTGGGTACACTTCCCAGATGGGGCGGCCTGGCAGAGGCGCTCCTCACTTCCCAGATGGGGCGGCCGGGCAGAGGCGCTCCTCACCTCCCAGACGGGGCGGCCTGGCAGAGGTGCTCCTCACCTCCCAGACGGGGTGGCCGGGCAGAGGCGCTCCCCACCTCCCAGATGGGGCGGCCGGGCAGAGGTGCTCCTCACCTCCCAGACGATGGGCGGTCGGGCAGAGGCGCTCCCCACCTCCCAGACGAAGGGCGGCCGGGCAGAGGAGCCCCTCACCTCCCAGGCGGGGTGGCCGGGCAGAGGCGCCCCTCACCTCCCAGGCGGGGCAGCCGGGCAGAGGCGCCCCTCACCTCCCAGGCGGGGCGGCCGGGCAGAGGCGCTCCTCACCTCCCAGACGGGGCGGCCGGGCAGAGGCTCCCCCAACCTCCCAGATGAAGGGCGGCCGGGCAGAGGAGCCCCTCACCTCCCAGGCAGGGCGGCCGGGCAGAGGCGCTCCTCACCTCCCAGACGGGGCGGCCGGGCAGAGGCTCCCCCAACCTCCCAGATGAAGGGCGGCCAGGCAGAGGCGCCCCTCACCTCCCAGGCAGGGCGGCTGGGCAGAGGCGCTCCTCACCTCCCAGACGGGGCGGCCGGGCAGAGGCACTCCTCACATCCCAGACGATGGGCGGCCGGGCAGAGGCGCTCCTCACTTCCCAGACGGGGCAGCTGGGCAGAGGCGCTCCTCACTTCCCAGACGGGGCAGCCGGGCAGAGGCGCTCCTCACATCCCAGACGATGGGCGGCCAGGCAGAGGCGCTCCTCACATCCCAGACGATGGGCGGCCGGGCAGAGGCGCTCCTCGCCTCCCAGACGGGGCGGCCGGGCAGAGGCGCTCCTTGCCTCCCAGACGGGGTGGTGGCCGGGCAGAGACGCTCCTCGCCTCCAAGACGGGGTGGCGGCAGGGCATAGGTGCTCCTCACCACCCAGACGGGGCGGCGGGGCAGAGGCGCTCCTCACCTCCCAGACGGGGCAGCCAGGCAGAGGCGCTCCTCACTTCCCGGACGTGGCGGTCAGGCAGAGGCGCTCCTCACATCCCAGACGATGGGCGGCCGAGCAGAGGCACTCCTCACATCCCAGACGATGGGCAGCCAGGCAGAGACACTCCTCACTTCGCAGACAGGGTGGCGGCCAGGCAGAGGCGCCCCTCACTTCCCAGACAGGGCGGCCGGGCAGAGGCGCTCCTCACTTCCCAGACGGGGCGGCTGGGCAGAGGGCCTCCCCACATCCCAGACGATGGGCGGCCAGGCAGAGACGCTGCCCACTTCCCAGACGGGGTGGTGGCCGGGCAGAGGCTGTAATCTTAGCACTTTGGGAGGCCAAGGCAGGCGGCTGGAAGGTGGAGGTTGTGGCGAGCCGAGATCAAGCCACTGCACTCCAGCCTGGGCAACACTGAGCATTGAGTGAGCGAGACTCCGTCTGCAATCCCAGCACCCCGGGAGGCCGAGGCGGGCAGATCACTCGAGGTCAGGAGTGGGAGACCAGCCCGGTCAACAGGGCGAAACCCCGTCTCCTCCAAACATACAAAAACCAGTCAGGCGTGGCAGCGCACGCCTGCAATCCCAGGCACTCGGCAGGCTGAGGCAGGAGAACCACGGGAGCCCGGGGCAGGGAGGCTACAGGGAGCCAAGACCACCGCAGTACAGTCCAGCCTCGACAACAGAGGGAGACTGAAGAAAGAAAGAAAGAAAGAAAGGGGAGAGAGGGAGACGAAAGAAAGAAAGAAAGAAAGGAAGGAAGGAAGGAAGGAAGGAGAAAGAAAGAGAAAGAAGCGGGGGGGGGGGGGGAGAGAGAGAGAGAGAGAGGAGAAAGAAAGAAAGAAAAGAAAGAAAGAAAGGGGAGAGGGAGAGAGCACAAAATTTTAAAAATGTTTCTTTACCTTTGAGTCCTATGTTCTTACATTGTTTTATAATCTTTTTTCTTGGTCTTCAAAACAATAAAATATTTTTTCCTCCCAAGAATAATGAGATATTCATTCGTATGGGGGTTCCCTTCCTCCCACCTCAAACATATTGAGTATTCTTAGATGATCTCACTTTCTGTTTCCTATTAGAAGCCTCCTCTTAGATTTTATTTATTTACTTTTCCTAAGGTACTTTTGTTATAGCAAGAAGGCTCCTCTTGGATTTTAACAAAAAGGGCTCAGATTGCCAGTTAAGTGCCTCAGGACAGTGAGGAGGAAGTCCTGGCTACAAATCACCCTTTTAGAGAAACTTCTCTTTGTGGAGGATATTATTTGTAGTTGGCTAAGATGCTATGTCAAGTTAAGATCTGGTGTGGCCACATTGTTGCCTTGCACTAGAATAGTCCTGCTTCCTCCTAGAGTATATGTCAGCTCTGTGTAGCTTCCTTTGGTACACTAGAAAATGGTCTGCCACTAGTACAACCAACTACTATGTCCTATGTCTTGCAGGACAGTTCTCAAATTCTGCCAAGTTGTTCTCTGGGTGCTGCACCTCATTGCATCCAAAGAGAATCCCCCTGATTTATTTAGCAAGAATGTTCTTCCAACCCCGAGCTTCACTCTGGGCTCTTGCTACAGCTTTTCTCAAATCCCGCTAGTTTGCAGCTGTTAAAAGAACTCTCTATAATCCGAAAATAAAATTCTAGGCTGGGCATGCTGGCTCATGCCTGTAATCCCAGCACTTTGGGAGGCCGAGGTGGGCGGATCACTTGAGGCCAGGAGTTCGAGACCAGTCTGGCCTAACATGATGAAACCCCATCTCTATTAAAATACAAAAAAAAAAAAAATGGTGGCACATGTCTGTATTCCCAGATACTTGGGAGGCTGAGGAGGGAGGATTTCTTGAGCTCTAGATGTAGAGACTGCAGTGAGCCGAGATCATGCCACTGCAGTCCAGCCTGGGCGACAGAGCGAGACTCTACCTCAAAAAAAGAAAAAAGAAAAAAAAAAAACAACACAGTAAAATAAAACTCTAAGCCCTCCAGCTGGCTGAATGGACCTCCCCCCTTGGCCAAGGGAAACCCAAAGAAACCTGAAAAACTACTTCAGGGCATAAGGAGAAGGGGCATCTGATATGCCTCATCATACAGTGTTCCCTTTGGAGTTTAGACACAACTGACCAGCATTAACATTAAAACAGAGATGTTAAGACTGACAAAACATGACTCTTCATAGCACCCTACTAGGTGTAGACCCTACTAGATCTGACATCTCTTAAGGTCTGATAAGAGACATTCACCACCTATTCTCTCTGAAGCCTGCTACCTGGAGGTTTCATCTACATGATGAAAATCTTGGCTTTCACGGCTCCCTTATCTAAACTCAAGCATTTTCTTTATGCTGAATTCAACTCTTCAGGCAGGGCTTAACTTCCAACCATTTGGCAACCAGGAAATCTTTCAATCCACTTATGACCTGGAAGGTCCTCCCACCCGCTGTCCCACTTTGAGATGTTGAAGAATCTGTGTTGTCTGCGGTAAATACCTGGGGTTTGTCATCTTGCACCAGGAAAATTTAGGACACAGATACACATGAGGAGTTTAGGAGCAGAATTTAATAGGCAAAAGAAAGAGAAACAAAGAGAAAGGAAAACAGTTCTCTCTCTAGTGAGAGAGAGGGGACTTCCAAGAGGAAAAAGCTGACTGGTGGCAGATGTGTCAGATTTTATAGTCAGTCTTGAGAAGGCGGTGTCTGATTTACATAGGGCTCACAGATTGGTTCAATCAAGTATGATGTTTACATAGCACATGGGGAAGGCTGGCCACCTCACCCTAATCTTATTATGCAAATGAACTTTCCCCTTGTCTGGTGCCATCTTGTCTGCTCCTTACTGTACATGTGGCTGGCAGAGAAAGGAACACCGCGCCCGGCCACGAGATGCTTCCTTATATAAAAATTTCTTCCCTTTATAACCTTCTTTGTATAGCCAGGGTGTGACATATTACCAAACCCAATAAGAAGTTCTTGCAGACTCAGTGATAGTAAAACTATCATGCTTCCTTTTCGTTGGGAACCATTATCTCTGCTATTAGGATAATAATTAAGCAAAATACTACAGCAATGGAAATTCTCTGTCCGATATTCCGGTTAGAAGGTGCTACCATCTATAGGTCTTACTGCAAATAGTAAAGTGAGTATAGCAATTCCTGCAAGTGTGGTACAGTAGATAATTTCCATGTAAAATTTTACTTGCCAAGATATAGAATCTCCCTTTGGGGATCTATGAAGTTTCTTGGTTTTATTTTCCCAAACAGAAACATCTGGGTTATGGGCACCCTATTCACTTTCATTACCTGGCAGATGTTGCAGGATAATTGCCCAGAACTAGCATATTGATCCAGCTTTTTACATTGCCCATTCCTTTCTGTTTCTTCCAGGCTTCAGGAGATCACCACTTGATTCACAGGAATAAGCGGGATTAGTCTAAAATGTAGTCAAAAAAACTTAAAAACAATCATTGAGACTAGAATTTAGTGACAAATGGATGATAAGCTTTGGAGCATAATTTTTCTCTCTCCAGTCTTTATTTTAGGTAAAAACAAATTATGATAGGATTGTGTTGTTTGTATAATAAACTTTAGTCTTATACTTGGCCTGATTATTTGCATAAGGTGCAGAAAGAATGATTTCTACATAGGCCTTTTGAATTGGCTTTGATGGAACTCTGATCCACAAGGAATTTTAGATAAAACCTCTTAGAGCTGAACCCAGCCATGGGTTTATATCCTCAAATACCTGTGAGTTGGGTGATCCCCTCCTCTTAAGGTCCCAAGATAAACTTGGAGCTCCTGGATCTGTTAGAAAGTGGCATTCTTTACTGACTACAGGTCAGAAACCCTGGACGGGGACTGTGTAGGTAAGGGTATGAGGCCAGTTCTTCTCATGGGGCTTTTATTGGCTCTGCAAGTCTAGATTGACTCCTTAAATAGTTTCCAAATTCTAGAGGAACTAGGCAGAGAGAAACAAACATACTCCAAATTTTGTTCACAAGAGTATAACTTACTCAATTATTAAAGGCCATAAGTAGTTCAAAATAAGTTTCATTGACTCTGAAAAACAAAACAAGGATCAGCAATATTCCAAGCAAAAGTCAGAAAGTTTGCTTTAGCTTTGTGAGTGCAGTCCATTTAGTTAACTCTTATTTTGCTTGATATACATGAGCATTTTAGTTCTTCATAGTCCTGTACTTTTTTTCTTTATTCCGTGTTACAATCTTTAAAGCTATTAAAAAAACTCACATTTGAGAACACCTGTTAAAGTCCTGTAGCTTGATTATAAACCATCTTTTGAGAAAGAACAAAGCAAGACAACAATTGTCTGCGAATGACAAAATTTCCAAGGTAGTTATAGTTAAAAGCAAGACTGACAAATAAGTTTAGTTATCTCTGTGATTTACAATAACTTTAACCTTAATTATAATTGATAGCATATACTTAGACATTAGAATTTTAGAAGTCACATGCAATTTTGGAACATATATTAGTATTCACCAAAATATAACTTAAAGAATATCGGACATCATTTTGGCAATCTTATGTGACAAAACATGCCAAATAATACTGTGTACCTCTTCTCTGGATTTTTCAGGGGCCTCTGAACCATCCAGAAAGCCAGGCATCAGGAAAGACAATTTTGAAACTTGAAGTTTGATTTTGGGACACCTGTTAAATGTCAGAGGTTTAAAATACTTGATGTTATGAAATAGAATTTCAGATCGCCATAAATTGCTTATTTTGCCAAAATGACTCAAAAGGCAAAAACCTTCTATTAACCTTTACTATTACATGAAAATCCTATTCAAAGTCAAAATTTACCCTTGCATTAGTTAATTAATGTTAGCCCCAGTTTGTTGAAATGAAACCTTATAGATGATTCCATCTAATTTTAACCAATTTGACCATGAGGTGCAATCTTTACAAACCTTTTATAACCCTTTTTACTAAAGGGCAGATTAGCATCTTTAGACAACCTTGCTATACTTTTATTTCAATACTCAATTTATGAGAAGACCGTATAATGCCCTTTTGGATTTAATGTTTACACATTGTTTGCAAGATTAATTTTTACAATCTTTCTGTAACTTGCTTAAACCTCTAGCTTTATCTTATCAAATTTAAGATAATCCCTCATACCTGGGCAAAATTTACATTTCCATGCATTCTTATAATCTTTTACTAAAAAACGCATTTTACTGTTTTTATACGCCTTGCATGTAAAACTGTTTAGTGACCTCAAATACATGTGGCACTGTTAACTCTTAGCAACTTTTACTTTTGGTGAAAAACCTGTTTAGTAAGTGTTTTTAATTATGTACCAGGTGTGGAGCCTAGGACCCAGACAGAAGTGCAGATAAGGTCTGACCCTCTTCAGCATCTAACTTTCACGTGTCCCAGGCCTTACCTATCTGTAAAGCAGGCAATTTGGAACATTTAGCAAACCTAGTATCTAAGCTGTATGATTTAGACCACCTATTTGCATTTTGACGACACTTGCATTTTACCAATTCTTCAGACTATTTTTATTTCTTAAAGATTACAGTCATGTGAACTAAAAAATATTTAAGTGCTTATTTTTCTTTAACCCAATTAGAGCTCTTTTTATAGACATTACACACAACACACATATAGCAACACAAATAGAAGATTCAGCACTTGTAACATTTTTCATTTGCCAGTTTCTTTTTTTCTGTTTTTTGAGACAGAGTTTCACTCTTGTTGTCCAGGCTGGAGTGCAAAGGCGTGATCCCGGCTCACCGCAACCTCCGCCTCCCAGGTTCAAGCGATTCTCCTGCCTCAGCCTCCTGAGTAGCTGGGATTACAAGCATGCACCACCACACCCGGATAATTTTTTATATTTTTAGTAGAGATGGGGTTTTTCCATGTTGGTCAGGATGGTCTTGAGCTCCCAACCTCAGGTGATCCGCCCACCTCGGCCTCCCAAAGTGCTGAGATTACAGACGTGAGCCACCATGCCCGACCTGCCAGTTTCTTAATTGGATTACTCGTTTCAGGATGGAGCCCTTGGAGGAACAGGGCCAGGATAGCATGCCTTTTAGGGCCTAAGAAGCAGGCACAGCTGAAGGCAAAGAAAGATCCGCAAAATTAACGGCGCCATTTTATACTGGATCTTGGATCCCCCAAAGGTGGGAGATACTGTGGAAGAAGAGAGTGCAGTGCTTCTACTGTGCATTTCATTTCAAGGCAACCCAAAGCCAATTGGCTTATTTTGTAATCGGCCCATCCCTCATGGGAGTCTTATCTCTCAATAGGGGGTGGGGATGTTTCCATATCTTATAGGTGGCCAAGAGCATGCTTCTCTGACTCAAATGTGCAGAGTTAAGTATCCCTCCATAACTACTATTAGCCATTCCTTAAAGTATATCTCCTACCTAGTTATTACACACCAAAGCTCTCTCATAATGTGAAGTAATTTGATATCCCCAAAACTCAAAACTATCAGATAACACAATGCAAAACAGAACTGAGCCTTTGATTTTGAGAGGGAATGATCTGCTTTTAATTCCTGGGGTTTCATGAGGAAAACAGTTTTTTTTTCTTCCCCCCCTCCCCCAAAACAGGGTCTGTAGTGCCTCCTCTGTTTTTCCCAAGGAGTCCCCGGCTACCGGAAGTTATCTTAGGGCCTGTCATATGTGCATTAAGAGTGGCAAGACAAAAAATGGAGAAAAATAATTCAGTCGACTAAAAAGAAAAAAGACTTTTTCCAGAAAAACATGATCCAAGAAGAGAAAAACATAATAGCCTTTTAAGTATATCTATAACTGGGATATCCACTTTTAATTAAGCTGAGCACTCTTTCAGAAAATCCTTTTAAATCCCTTGTTACTAAACTTTAGCCACACCAAGCAGTTAAGATTTTCAGCTTTTGAATGTCACAAAAAGTAACCTCACAGGTGAGACCAACAAGCCTTAATTAGTTTATGACTTAACCTCCAGTGTACAAGGTATTTTCTTTTTTCTTTTTTTTTGAGACAGAGTCTCGCTCTGTCGCCCAGGCTGGAGTGCAGTGGCGCCATCTCAGCTCACCGCAACTCCCATCTCCCGGGTTCCAATGATTCTCCTGCCTCAGCCTCCCAAATACCTGGGATTACAGGTGCCAGCCACCACACCCAGCTAATTTTTGTAGTTTTAGTACAGATGGGGTTTCACCATGTTGGTCAGGCTGGTCTCAAACTCCTGACCTCAGGTGATCTCTGCCTCCCAAAGTGCAGGGATTACAAGCGTGAGCCACCGTGCCCTGCCAGGTATCAGGTATTTTCAAAGGGGTGATAAGTAACTTTTGAAACTCTCATTGCAAAATTGTGACTGAGACAGTGAAAGAGATCAGACCCAACCAACTCCATTTTGTTTTTAGCCCCTAAGCTGTCCTTGCTCATCACTGGGCATAGGCTGAACCAACTTTGGGAGGTGTCTGGTTTACAGTGTATAGTCTAAAACAAAGGTGGTAACAGCCCCTTCCTAAGATATACTTCCCTCTTGCCTGGGGACCAGACCAAGAAACTAGCCACAAAATGAGAAACCATGGCTTAGGAGTCACGCAGCTGGAGGCTACAAGATTTTATCCTCCCTTAACTGCCCAAGATCAGTATTTAAGATATTTTGTAAACTCTGCCCTTGATGGATCAGCTGGCTCTGCCTAGATTGATAAACTGGCTTATCTGATTTTTGGCCCTTCCCCGGGAACTAACTTAGCACAAGACACCCACCGTTGTAAAATGGCAGAGACTAAAACAAAGTATTGCCACGTGGTTACACGTCATGTTTCCAAGTACATGAAACAAGATGGAGGCCTGTAGCCAAGTTTGTTACTGACCATTTTGTTGGACTGGCTTGAACAGCAGGCTTATAGGGTCCTGGGTCTGCATCTTAACCTAAGGTACCCTTTCTTTCCACAGGACCATACAGAAAGATACACGAAGCACACCAGATTGGCTACAGTTTAAGACCAACCTCACAAATCCCTTTTCATTAATTAAAACTTAACCACAAATATAAACAATAATCCTTATCCCTTTTGCCAGTTTGGATAGGGAGAGAGAAGCCAAAAGCCTGACTGGTAAGAAAATTTTACCCTTTTGCCCACATGTCAGGCTTCTAGTTCCTTTTCCCCAGCTCAACTCTAAGCCAAGCATTTTTAAGGTTTGGAAAATTAACTTTTCCCAGGTTGAAAGAACATTATAAAAGCATATAGGAGCCATTTTAAGCTGTAAAAGAAGGAAAAATACCATAGAAAAGTCTGGGGGTTCCAGTTAGAGTTGTTAAGAGGTATTGCTTCCCTTCCTATCGACAATGATGTTTCCTCTATTTCTTGATCTTCTCTATTTTCTCTTTTCCCTTTTTGCTTATTATAGGAGACATATTGTACATTTCCAAAATTCTCTGCCTTCTGCAGAACTGCCTGTTTTTCAGCTGTAGTTTGGGGTTTGGCTTAGAAGCAGCATAACATCCCTTCATGAGAGGTTAAACACCTGAGTTAAATTTCAGAAAGCTTCTATATACCTATCAGGGTCATTGGAGAATTGGCCTAAGTCTCCCTTTATTTGCCTAAGGTACTGTAATGAGAAGGGAACTTGAGGGGCCCCTGAATAAGGGGGATCCTTAGATTGTTCCCCTGGAAGTTACTTCTCTAACTTTGGTGAATCATTTGCTATTGGCCTGCCTGATATGACTACTAAAAGAGCTGGGTTGATTTTGTAACACCTGCAAAGGTCTAGTAAGGCCATGCCCTTGTGCAAAAGAAAATGAGTTGATTTTTCTTTAAATTATTAGAGTCAAAGGAGTCCTTGTGCTTCAGAATGTACTCCAGAGGGGTGCAAGCTGAAGATGATCTGTTACCCATCTAGAGAGAGAAGTGACAAAAAGGCATCTCTTTTTTCACCTTCCTTTTGGTGTGACCCAGGGTGGAGAGGAAAACAGTGGGGACGTCCCTCCTGCTGTTTTCCCTCTGCGGTTTCTGGGTCCTGGCACCTTGTTTAATGTGCCACCCATGGTTGCAGGTGTGACCCCCAGCCATGGAACCAGAGGAACTAAGTGATTGGGATTAGTCACACTGATTCATGCAACTCAAGTCCTCTGCCTGTGATTTCCTTTGACTTCCTAGACTTGTGTGACCTGCCTGGCTCCCTGAAAAATGGATCTTGGGAGAGACTATGCGACAGTTGCATTTGGGCAATTGTTGCACTTCCCTCCTTAATGGAGGAAGTGTGCTGGTTTGAGCTCTATATCCTGCTATTACAGTCCATGCTAAAGTGTTTACCCTTAGAGAATGGTTCTGGTTAACTTCTGAACTTAAAATCCCCTTACTAATTAAGTACCATTCTGATTGGAGGCAGAATAGGTGCCTTAAAAGATCATAGGGGCTGAGTGTGGTGGCTCATGCCTGTAATCCCAGCACTTTGGTAGGCCGAGACAGGTGGATCATGAGGTCAGGAGTTCGAGACCAGCCTGACCAACATGGTGAAACCCCGTCTCTACTAAAAATACAAAAATTAGCTGGGCATGGTGGCATGTAATCCACCTGTGCCTGTAATCCCAGCTACTCAGGAGGCTGAGGCAGGAGAATCTCTTGAACCCAGGAGGTGGAGGTTGCATTGAGCCGAGACTGCACAATTGCACTCCAGCCTGGGTGACAGAGCAAGACTCCGTCTCAAAAAAAAAAAAAAAAAAAAAAGATTGTAGGGACTAAATGGCTGTTTTCCTGTTGATGGAGCAGTATCAAGAATAAAATTTGGTTTTGGAGGATGTTTTATTCCTAGTTGTTGAAGCCAGAATTTTCCCATTTACAGAAGCAGCATGAAGCCTGGTTTGTAGTAGAGAGGCTCAAAAAGGGAAGAGAATTGGGAAGCTAGGCTGTTTTTGGTAAAGGACTGACAATGTGCCTCATGAAGAGGATCCCTGTTTCACTAGATGGTGCTGTTGACCTTGAAATGCCATGTGCTTTCCAGACCAAGGGCAGAGTGACCTTGACACGCCATGTGCTCTCCAGTCCTAGGTCAGAGAGAGACCTGGAAATGCCACGTGCTCTCCAGACCAAGGGCAGAGTGACCTGGAAGTTCCGTTTGCTCTCCAGACCAAGGGCAGGGAGAGACCTGCAAATGCTATATACTCTTCAGACCAAGGGCAGAGAGTGATGCTCACTGTCGGGGGGAGCCTTCTGTTTCTAGAAAATCTCAAAGACGCCTTCCCTTGAGCTATATCCCCTACAACGTTTCCTGATCTTGCCAAACAAAATAACTGAACTGTAAAACTTCGCTCACATAGCATACACAGAGAGAATAGGAGATATGACAGTCGCAGACAGGAAAGGAGGAAATTATGATAGAAAAGTTGGAGATCCTGTTGCCAACACCCCATCAGGTGGTCAGAGACTGGGATCAGTCCAGAAGCCTTTGGATAACACCTGAAGGTAGCCCCAGCCAGAAATCCTCAGTTGCTCTAGAACCTCTTACAGCCCCGCACAATGGCTAAGTCCTCCATGAAAGGAAGCTGGTTCAAACATGGCCAACATGCCCAGCAACCCATGGGTGCTGGGGGATTCTCCATTTTCTTCCCAGTAAATCTCACATCTGAGTCTTTAAGAATGGCAGCCACGCTAACCGTGTTTTTAACTGGCTGACAGATGCCCATTATTGATTTGATTTAGTTCTAAAGTGGAGGCCAACAGCCCCAAAATGAAAGGACAGAGTTGGATTCCACTCCTCTACTCACCGTTTTGATGAGCGTTGTACCTTGGTATCCTGAGTGAGCACCCTGACATGATTGGCTATGTTGTCTGGGGTAAATACCCAGCGTCTGTCATCTCGTGCCAGAAAAATTTAGGACACGGACACATACGAGGAGTTTAGGAATGGAGGTTTAATAGGCAAGAGAAAGAGAAACAAAAAGAAAGGAAAACAGCTCTCTCTCTAGTGTGAGAGGGGAATTCTGAGAGCAAAAGGTGGACTGGCGGCGGATGTGCCGGATTTTATAGTCTTAAGGAGGCAGTGTCTGATTTACATAGGGCTCACAAATTGGTTCAATCAGGTGTGAGCTTTACATAGTACTCAGGGAAGGCTGGCCACCCCACCCTAATCTTTTTAATGCAAATGGAACTTTCCCCTTGGCTGATGCCATCTTGTCTGCTCCTTACTATACACATGGCTGACAGAGAAGGGAAGATGGAGCCACTATTTTGAACATGATTGGCACACCTGCCAGCATGTATGTCTGCAGCTTGATTTTACAGGCTGCTCTTTGTTAGAAAATGATTTGGGGCTGCTTCTTATTAAAAGGAAAACCTTACCAAGGACTTCTGTACCCTTATTATCTGCCTAAGTGAGTTCTTCTTAACTCCTGTATCAGTGTGCCCCCTTTCCACGCCAAACCAATGTATACTTAACATGTATCAACTTTTGTCTTTGCCTTAAAATGTATAAAACCAGTCTGTAACCCAAAAACCTTGGGCACATGTTCTCAGGACCTCCTGAGGCTGTGTCACAAGCCATGGGTCCTTAACCTTGGCAAAAGTAACCTCTAAATTGATTGAGATCTGTCTCAGATACTTTTTTGTTTACATCCTCATAGCTGTTTTGTTAAATCTTGTCCCTGATTTTAGCCTTTTTTACCTTATTTCTGATTTTAGCCTTTTCCTTCCAAGAAAAGGGTGTTCATAAGGTCTCAAATACCCTTTTTCATAATTCTCAGAGGGCCATACTGGCCCTGAAAAATACTTTTTAAAGTTAGTCCTGAGGATTCTGTTTTAAAAAGCTAGATCTGTCTGCACAGACAGAATATTCAGCTTTGTTAGAGTTGTTTTTTTTCCTCCCCCTCCTTCACAAACATCTTGCTAGCCAGTCAGAACAGCTGAGTCAACTGTGGTCAGTTGGCTGAGAGATGTCACGGTCCATCTTTATGTCCAAATATTTGACAAATGTAAAAATATAGCTGAATATGCAAATTAATTATTGTAACCATGCTAATACACATACACATATACATGCATACATATATATACAGGGCAGTGGGATTATATACTATTCCTATCTTTTGTTTTTTCATTTCTATCATTTAAAATGTTAAGTTTTAAATAAGAAATGGTGGTTATTGTATTTTTGTTTTTCATGTCTATCTTTTAAAATGTTAAGTTTTAAATAAGAAATGGTGGTTATTGTATTTTTGTTTTTCATGTCTATCTTTTAAAATGTTAAGTTTTAAATAAGAAATGGTGGTTATTGTATTTGGGAGGTGATACACCTTTTTACTTCTAGATTCTGAAATAGATGGGTTACAAACAAGGGAACTAGTGCCACAATGTTTGGAAATTGTTCCATGCATAGAACTGGCTAGAACAAGGCAAGTTAGCCATTCCCTGTGCCTGAGGAACCAGGTCACTGGCTGCAGAGTCAGTGTGAATAGGATTATTTCCCATAATCCCTTGTGGCTTTGGTTCTATATCAAGGTCAGAGAGACTCAGGAGCGGAAGTTACATGTTTTTTTGAGGGTTAGGTACAGTTCTTATATATTCTCCTATTTCTGCCTTTACTTGTAAAGATCTTGGGGAGGATGCTCTGCCCAGGCATTTTCTCTTTATCCCGGACTTCCAGGGTTTTCATATTGGCTGGAGTTTTATAAGAACCTCAGTGTTTTGTAATGAATATTTCTTTTCCACACATCTTTTCTGTTTTTACATATTGTAGTAGTAATATGGATGAGGCAGGAATTGTGTGCTGAAGTACCTCCCAGCTTTGACTCTGAAAATACTACTTTTTAAAAATCTATTTATTTATTTATTTTCTTTTTTTGAGGCATGGTCTTGCTCTGTTGCTCAGGCTGGAGTGCAGTAGTACGATCATGGCTGACTGCATCCTTGACCTCCTAGGCTCAAGCAATCCTCCCACCTCAGCCTCCAGAGAAGCTGAGACTGCAGGCATGTGCCACCATGCCCAGCTAATTTTTAATTTTTTTGTAGAGACAGGATCTCCCTATGTTGCCCAGGCTGGTCTTGAGCTCCTGTGCTCAAGCATTCCTCCTGCTTCAATCTCCCAAAACGTTGGGATGACAGGCTTGACCTACTGAACCTGGCCTAAATATTTATTTTAAATTAGCTTCATAATTAGATGAATATCAAGTTTATTCAATCTGGTATTTTTTAACAGTCTTGAGGAAGTAGTTGATATTGATTGAGCAATATAGTGCTTTCTTATTTAAATATTTAATGTTTTCCTTTTTTCTTTTTTTTGAGACAGAGTCTCGCTCTCTCACCGAGGCTGGGGGGCAGTGGTGTGATCTTGGCTTACTACAGCCTCCGCCTTCCAGGTTCAAGCAATCCTCCCACCTCAGTCTCCTGAGTAGCTGGGACTACAGGTGTGTGCCCCCACACCCGGCTAGTTTTTGTATTTTTAGGAGAGATGGGGTTTCACCATGTTGGCCAGGCTGGTCTTGAACTCCTGGCCTCAAGTGATCTGCCTGCCTCAGCCTCCCAAAGTGTTGGGATTACAGGCCAGAGCCACTACACCCAGCCATTTTTCAAAACCCCTGTTTGTTTTAATATGTGATATGTTTTCAGAACACCTGCTTATTTTAATATGTGATACGGTTTGGATTTGTGTCCCCACTCAAATCTCATGTCGAATTGTATTGTAATCCCTAACGTTGGAGGAGGGGCCTGGTGGGAGGTGATGGGCCATGGGGGCGGACTTCCCCCTTGCTGTTCTTGTGACAGTGAGTTCGTTCTCATGAGATCTTGTTGTTTAAATTTGTAGTACCTCTCCCACCTTCTCTCCCTCCTGCTCCAACCGGGTAAGATGTGCCTGCTTCCCCTTTGCCTTCCGCCATGATCCTAAGTTTCCTGAGGCATCCCTTGCCATGCTTCCTGTACAGCCTGTGGAACTGTGAACCAATGAAACCTCTTTTTTAAATAAATTACCCAGTCTCAGATAGTTCTTTATAGCAATGTGAGAACAGACTAATACAATATGCGAACCATTAGGAGATATATAAGGATTTAAAAACTTTAAAAAACATATCTACACATCTGTTTAAATCTTATCAGTTAAGGTAATAATGTTAACACCCCACTTGGTGTATATCTTTCCATACTTATCTTCCTATTCATAACATGTGTTCAAGCATATTGATAGGATTTGGATCTATGTCTCTACCAAATCTCACGTCGAATTGTAATCCCCAGTTTTGGAGGTGGAGCCTGGTGGTAGGTGATGGATCATGGGAGCGGAGTTCTCATGAATAGGTCAGCACCATCTGCTTGGTGCTTTTCTCCTGTGAGTGAGTAAGTTCTCTTGAGATGTGATTTTTTTAAGGTGTGTGGTATCTTCTCCCTCTCTCTGTTCCTTTTGCTCTGGCCATGTAATATGCGCCTGCTTCTCCTTGGCCTTCTGCCATGATCATACGTTTCCTGAAGCAGATGCTGTGATGCTTCCTGTACAGCCTACAGAACTGTGGGCTAATTAAATATTAAATCTCTTTTCTTTATACAGTATGTAGTCTCAGGTATTTCTTTATAGCAGTACGAGAACAGACTAATACAGAAAATTGGTATCAAGGAGTGAAGCATTGCTATAAAGATACCTGAAAATGTGAAAGTGACTTGGGAACTGGGTAATGGGCAGAGGTTGGACGAGTGTGGAGGGCTCAGAAGAAGATAGAAGGATGAGGGAAAAATTGGACTGTCTTAGAGACTTGTTAAATTGTTGTGACCAAAATGTTGATAGTGATATGGACAGTGAAGGCCAGGCTGAGGAGTTTTCAGATGGAGATGAGGAACTTACTGGGAACTGGAGCAAAGTCAGTTTTGTTATGTGTTAGCAAAGAGGTTGGAGGCATTATGTCTCTGCCCTGGGGACCTAGGGACTGTTTTTATTATTATTATTATACTTTAAGTTCTAGGGTACATGTGCACAACGTGCAGGTTTGTTACATATGTATACATGTGCCATGTTGGTGTGCTGCGCCCGTTAACTCATCATTTACATTACGTATAACTCCTAATGCTATCCCTCCCCGCTCCCCCTACTGCACGACAGGCCCCAGTGTGTGATGTTCCCCACCCTGTGTCCATTCCCACCTATGAGTGAGAACATGCGGTGTTTGGTTTTCTGTCCTCGGGATAGTTTGCTCAGAATGGTGGTTTCCAGCTTCATTCATGTCCCTACAAAGGACATGAACTCATCCTTTTTTATGGCTTCATAGTATTCCACGGTGTATATGTGCCACATTTTCTTAATCCGATCTATCACTGATGGACATTTAGGTTGGTTGCAAGTCTTTGCTATTGTGAATAGTGCTGCAATAAACATACGTGTGCCTGTGTCTTTATAGCAGCATGATTTATAATCCTTTGGGTATATGCCGAGTAATGGGATGACTGAGTCAAATGGTATTTCTAGTTCTAGATCCTTGAGGAATCGCCACACTGTCTTCCACAATGGTTGAACTAGTTTACAGTCCCACCAACAGTGTAAAAGCATTCCTATTTCTCCATATCCTCTCCAGCACCTGTTGTTTCCTGACTTTTTAATGATTGCCATTCTAACTGGTGTGAGATGGTATGTCATTGTGGTTTTGATTTGCATTTCTCTGATGGCCAGTGATGATGAGCATTTTTTCATGTGTCTGTTGGCTGCATAAATGTCTTTTGAGAAGTGTCTGTTCATATCCTTTGCCCATTTTTTGATGGGGTTGTTTGATTTTTTCTTGTAAATTTGTTTAGGTTCTTTGTAGATTCTGGATATTAGCCCTTTGTCAGATGAGTAGATTGCAAAAATTTTCTCCCATTCTGTAGGTTGCCTGTTCACTCTGATGGTAGTTTCTTTTGCTGTGCAGAAGCTCTTTAGTTTAATTAGATCCCATTTGTCAATTTTGGCTTTTGTTGCCATTGCTTTTGGTGTTTTAGTCATGAAGTCCTTGCCCATGCCTATGTCCTGAATGGTATTGCCTAGGTTTTCTTCTAGGGTTTTTATGATTTTAGGTCTAACATGTAAGTCTTTCATCCATCTCGAATTAATTTTTGTATAAGGTGTAAGGAAGGGATCCAGTTTCAGCTTTCTACATATGGCTAGCCAGTTTTCCCAGCACCATTTATTAAATAGGGAATCCTTTTCCCATTTCTTGTTTTTGTCAGGTTTGTCAAAGATCAGATGGTTGTAGATGTGTGGTATTATTTCTGAGGGTTCTGTTCCATTGGTCTATATCTCTGTTTTGATACCAGTACCATGCTGTTTTGGTTATTGTAGCCTTGTAGTATAGTTTGAAGTCAGGTAGCATGATGCCTCCAGCTTTGTTCTTTTGGCTTAGGATTGTCTTGGCAATGCAGGCTCTTTTTTGGTTCCATATGAACTTTAAAGTAGTTTTTTCCAATTCTGTGAAGAAAGTCATTGGTAGCTTGATGGGGATGGCATTGAATCTATAAATTACCTTGGGCAGTATGGCCATTTTCACAATATTCATTCTTCCTATCCATGAGCATGGAATGTTCTTCCATTGTTTGTGTCCTCTTTTATTTTGTTGAGCAGTGGTTTGTAGTTCTCCTTGAAGAGGTCCTTCACATCCCTTGTAAGTTGGATTCCTAGGTATTTTATTCTCTTTGAAGCAATTGTGAATGGGAGTTCTCTCATGATTTGGCTTACTGTTTGTCTGTTATTGGTGTATAGGAATGCTTGTGATTTTTGCACATTGATTTTGTATCCTGAGACTTTCCTGAAGTTGCTTATCAGCTTAAGGAGATTTTGGGCTGAGATGATGGGGTTTTCTAGATATACAATCATGTCATTTGCAAACAGGGACAATTTGACATCCTCTTTTCCTAATTGAATACCCTTTATTTCTTTCTCTTGCCTGATTGCCCTGGCCAGAACTTCCAACACTATGTTGAATAGGAGTGGTGAGAGAGGGCATCCCTGTCTTGTGCCAGTTTTCAAAGGGAAGGCTTCCAGTTTTTGCCCATTCAGTATGATATTGGCTGTGGGTTTGTCATAGATAGCTCTTATTATTTTGAGATATGTCCCATCAGTACCTAATTTATTGAGAGTTTTTAGCATGACGGGCTGTTGAATTTTGTCGAAGGCCTTTTCTGCATCTATTGAGATAATCATGTGGTTTTTGTCTTTGGTTCTGTTTGTATGATGGATTACGTTTATTGATTTGTGTATGTTGAACCAGTCTTGCATCCCAGGGATGAAGCCCACTTGATCATGGTGGATAAGCTTTTAGATGTGCTGCTGGATTCGGTTTGCCAGTATTTTATTGAGGATTTTTGCATTGATGTTCATCAGGATATTGGTCTAAAATTCTCTGTTTTTGTTGTGTCTCTGCCAGGCTTTGGTATCAGGATGATGCTGGCCTCATAAAATGAGTTAGGGAGGATTCCCTCTTTTTCTATTGATTGGAATAGTTTCAGAAGGAATGGTACCAGCTTCTCTTTGTACCTCTGGTAGAATTCAGCTGTGAATCCATCTGGTCCTGGACTTTTTTTGGTTGGTAGGCTATTAATTAGTGCCTCAATTTCAGAGCCTGTTATTGGTCTATTCAGGGATTCAACTTCTTCCTGGTTTAGTCTTGGGAGAGTGTATGTGTCGAGGAATTTATCCTTTTCCTCTAGATTTTCTAGTTTATTTGCATAGAGGTGTTTATATTATTCTCTGATGGTAGTTTGTATTTCTGTGGGATCGGTGGTGATATCCCCTTTATCATTTTTTACTGCGTCTATTTGATTCTTCTCTCTTTTCTTCTTTATTAGTCTTGCTAGCGGTCTATCAATTTTGTTGATCTTTTCAAAAAACCAGCTCCTGGATTCATTGATTTTTTTTTGAAGGGTTTTTTGTGTCTCTATCTCCTTCAGTTCTGCTCTGATCTTAGTTATTTCTTGCCTTCTGCTAGCTTTTGAATGTGTTTGCTCTTGCTTCTCTAGTTCTTTTCATTGTGACGTTAGGGTGTGAATTTTAGATCTTTCCTGCTTTCTCTTGTGGGCATTTAGTGCTATAAATTTCCGTCTACACATTGCTTTAAATGTGTACCAGAGATTCTGGTATGTTGTGTCTTTGTTCCATTGGTTTCAAAGAACATTTTTATTTTTGCCTTCATTTTGTTATGCATCCAGTAGTCATTCAGGAGCAGGTTGTTGAGTTTCCATGTAGTTGAGCGGTTTTGAGTGAGTTTCTTAATCCTGAGTTCTAGTTTGATTGCACTGTAGTCTGAGAGACAGTTTGTTATAATTTCTGTTCTTTTACATTTGCTGAGGAGTGCTTTACTTCCAAACATGTGGTCACTTTTGGAATAAGTATGATGTGGTGCTGAAAATAATGTATGTTCTGTTGATTTGAGGTGGAGAATTCTGTAGACGTCTATTAGGTCCGCTTGGTGCAGAGTTCAATTCTTGGTGAGTTCAATTCCTGGATATCCTTGTTAACTTTCTGTCTCATTGAGCTGTCTAACGTTGACAGTGGGGTGTTAAAGTCTCCCCTTATTATTGTGTAGGAGTCTAAGTCTCTTTGTAGGTCTCTAAGGACTTGCTTTATGAATCTGGGTGCTCCTGTATTGGATGCATATATATTTAGGATAGTTAGCTCTTCTTGTTGAATTGATCCCTTTACCATTATGTAATGGCCTTCTTTGTCTCTTTTGATCTTTGTTGGTTTAAAGTCTGTTTTGTCAGAGACTAGGATTGCAACCTTTGCTTTTTTTTGTTTTCCATTTGCTTGGTAGATCTTCCTCCATCCCTTTATTTTGAGCCTATATGTGTCTCTGCCTGTCAGATGGGTCTCCTGAATACAGCACACTGATGGGTCTTGACTTTTTTTTTTTTTTTTTGAGACAGAGTCTCGCTCTGTCACCCAGGGTGGAGTGCAGTGGCGTGATCTCAGCTCACTGCAAGCTCTGCCTCCCAGGTTCACGCCATTCTCCTGCCTCAGCCTCCTGAGTAGCTGGGACAACAGGCGCCTGCCAACGTGCCCGGCTAATTTTTTGTATTTTTAGTAGAGACGGGTTTTCACCATGTTAGCCAGGATGGTCTCGATCTCCTGACCTCGTGATCCACCCACCTTGGCCTCCCAAAGTGCTGGGATTACAGGTGTGAGCCACCATGCCCGGCCGGGTCTTGACTCTTATCCAATTTGCCAGTCTGTGTCTTTTAATTGGAATATTTAGCCCATTTACATTTAAGGTTAATATTGTTATGTGTGAATTTGGTCCTGTCATTATGATGTTAGCTGGTTGTTTTGCTTGTTAGTTGATGCAGTTTCTTCCTAGCATCGATGGTCTTTACAATTTGGCATGTTTTTGCAGTGGCTGGTACTGGTTGTTCCTTTCCATGTTTAGTGCTTCCTTCAGGAGCTCTTATAAGGCAGGCCTGGTGGTGACAAAATCTCTCAGCATTTGTTTGTCTGTAAAGGATTTTATTTCTCCTTCACTTATGAAGCTTAGTTTGGCTGGATATGAAATTCTGGGTTGAAAATTCTTTTCTTTACGAATGTTGAATATTGGCCCCCCACTCTCTTCTGGCTTGTAGAGTTTCTGCCAAGAGATCTGCTGTTAGTCTGATGGGCTTCCCTTTGAGGGTAACCCGACCTTTCTCTCTGGCTCCCTTAACATTTTTTCCTTCATTTCAACAGGATCTGTGGAAATTTGAACTTGAAAGTGATGATTTAGGGTATGTGGTGGAAGAAATTTCCAACCAGCAGAGTATTCAAGATGTGGCCTGGCTGCTTCTAACAGCCTGCATTCATATGCATGAGCAAGGAAATGACCTGAAACTGGAACTTATTTAAAAGGGAAGCAGAGCATGAAAGTTTGGGAAATTTGTAGCCTAGCCATGTGGTAGAAAAGAAAAACCCCATTTTCAGTGGAGGAATTCAATCAGGCTGCAGAAATCTGCCTAAGTAAAGAGCAGCCAAGTGCTAATTTTTCAAGACAACGAGGAAAAGACCTTGAAGGCGTTTCAGAGAACTTTGTGGCAGCCTCTCCCATCACAGGCCCAGAGGCCTAGGAAGGAAGAATGATTTTCTTGGCTAGGCCCAGGGCCTTGCTGCACTGCACAGCTCCATGCATCCTGGAGCACTGCTCTGTGCATCCTGGCATCTCTAGCACCAGCTGGGCTCAGAAGGGCCCAGGTATAGCTTGGGCTGCTGCTTCAGAGAGTGTAAACTGTAAGCCTTGGTGGTTTACACTTGGTGTTAAGCCTGTGGATGCACAGAGTGCAGGAGTTGAGGCTTGGGAGCCTCCATCTAGATTTCAGAGGATGTATGGAAAAGCCTGGATGTCCAGGCTGAAGCCTAGTGCAGGGTTTGAGCCCTCATGGAGAACCTCTACTAGTGCAGTGCAGAGGGGAAATGTGGGGTGGGAGCCCCCCCACAGAGTCCACACTGGGGCACTGCCTAGTGGAGCTGTGAGAAGAGGGCCACTGTCTTTGAGAACCTAGAATGGTAGATCCATTGGCAACTTGCACACTGTGCCTGGAAAAGCCACAGGCACTCAACGCCAGCCTGTGAGAGCAACTCTGAAGGCTGAATCCTGGAAAGATTTGGAACTTTCCAAGGCCTTGGGAGCCCACTCCTTGCATCAGTGTGCCCTGGATGTGAGACATGGAGTCAAAGGAGATTATTTTGGAGCTTTACGATTTAATGACTGCCTACTGGGTTTGGGACTTGCGTGGGGCCTATGACCCCTTTCTTTTGCCCAATTTCTCCTTTCAAAGTGGAGTATTTACCCAATGCCTGTACCCCCATTATATCTTCAAAGTAGCTAATGTGTTTGATTTTACAGTCTCATAGCTGGAAGGGGCTTGCCTTGTCTCAGATGTCACTTTGGATTTTGGACCTTTGAGTTAATGCTGGAATGTGTTAAGACTTTGGAGGACTGTTGGGAAGGCATGATTATATTTTGTAGTGTGAGAAGGACATGAGATTTGGAGAGGCCAGGGGCAGAATGATATGGTTTGCCTCTGTGCCTCCCACAAATCTCATGTTGAATTGTAATCCCCAGTGTTGGAGGTGGGGCTTAATGGGAGGTGATGGATAATGGGGTGGAGTTCTCATGAATGGGTTAACACCATCCCTTGGTGCTATTCTTGTTATAGTTCTCATGAGATCTGGTTATTTAAAAGTGTATAGCACCTCACCCCTCACTCTTTTCCTCCTGCTCTGGCCATGTGAAGTGCTATATCTCCCTTCACCTTATACCTTGATTGTAAGCTTCCTGAGGCTTCCCCAGCCGTGCTTCCTGTATAGCCTGTGGAACTGTGAGCCAATTAAACCTCTTTTTTAAATAAATCACCACGTTTCAGGTATTTATGGCAATACAAGAACAGACTAATACACACACACAAACACACACACATATATACATGCCCTTTTGGTTTACTTTAAAAAAAATAGCTTTATTGAGGTGTAGTTTGCATACCATGCAATTCATCCCTTTAAAGTATAAATCCAGTGGTTTTTAATGTATTCACAGAGTTGTGTAACTGTCACCACAATAAATTTTAGAATATTATTATCACTGTAAGAAAGAAACCTCTTAGCCATTAGCAATCATTTCCATTTTCTCCAACCTCCCACTAGGGAGGTTCCTCCAACTGGGAAACCACGAATCTACTTTCTGTCTTTGTAGAATTACTCATTCTGGACATTTTATGTGAATGGAATAATATAATATGTAGTCTTTTGTAGCTGCTTTCTTTCACTTAACATCATTTTTTTAGGTTCATCCAAGTTGTAGTGTGTATCAGTACATTGTTCCTTTTTATGCCTGAATAATATTCCATTATATGGGTATACTATAATTTGTTTATTCATTCATCAGTTGATGGACATTGCATTGTTTCCACTTTTGGACTGTAATGAGTAATGCTGGTATGAACATTTGTGTATAAAATTTTGTGTGGATTTTTTAAAACTTGAGGTGAGGCTGGGCACAGTGGCTCATGCTTGTAATCTCAGTACTTTGGGAGGCTGAGGTGGATGGATTGCTTGAGCCCAGGAGTTTGAGACCAGGTTGGGCAACATGATGTAACCCCATCTCTAAAAAAAATGCAAAAATTAGCTGGGCATAGTGGCACATGCCTCTAGTCCCAGCTACTTGGAGGCTGGGAGGTAGGAGGATCACTAAGCCTGGGAGGCAGAGGTTGTAGTGAGCTGAGATTGTGCCACTCCCTCTGTTGTCCAGGCTGGAGTGAGCAGCAGAGGGAGACCCTGTCTCAAAAATAAAAATTAAAAAAAATTAAAAATTGAGGTGATAGTCACATAACATACAATTAACTATTTGAAAGTGTGCAATTCAGTGGCTTTTAGTATGTTCACAGTGTCATGCAATTATTGTGTCTCTCTACTTCCAAAATTTTTTCATCATCCCAAGAAAAATACCCATACACATTAAATAATCACTCCCTTTCCCTCTATCCCCTGGTAACCACTAATCTGTCTTCTGTCTCTATGGATTTTGCAGTTCTGGTTATGTCATCTAAAAGGTATCATATAATTTATGGTCCTTGTGACTGGCTTTTTTAACTTAGCATAATTTTTTAGGGTTCATCCATATGGTGGTTTGTATCAGCATGTCATTCTTTTTAATGATTGAATAATACCATAGTGTAGGCCGGGTGTGGCACAGTGGCTCACACCTGTAATCCCAGCACTTTGGGAGACCAAGGCAGGTGGATCACGAGGTCAAGAGATCGAGACCATCCTGGCCAACATGGTGAAATCCCATCTCTACTAAAAGTGCAATAATTAGCTGGGTGTGGTGTCGCACACCTGTAGTCCCAGCTACTCGGGAGGCTGAAGCAGGGGAATCACTTGAACTGAGGAGGCGGAGTTTGCAGTGAGCTGAGATCGCGCCACTGCACTCCAGCCTGGTGACAGAGTGAGACTCCATCTCAAAAAAAAAAAAAAAAAACACACACACAAAAACTCTAGTGTATGGATATTACCACAGTTTGTTTACCCATTCATTAGTTCATGGACATTTGGGTTGTTTCTGCTGTTTGGATGTTATGTATAATGCTGCTAGATACACTTGTGTACATGTTCCTGTGTGGCATATTTCTGTGTGCACTATTTTTCAAAGTGGCTGTATCATTGTGGATTCCCACCAGCAGTATATGATGGTTCCACCTTTTCCACATTCAAGCTCAAAGTTACTATTATCTGTCTTTTAAGTCATCCTAATGGGTGTGAAATGATATCTTACTGTGGTTTTGATTTACATTTCCCTAATGACTAGTGGTTGTTATGCATATTTTCATGTATTTATTGACCATTTATTTATTTTTATTTATTTTTTGACATGGAGTCTTATTCTGTAACTCAGGCTGGAATGCAGTGGTTGGATCATAGCTCACTGCAACCTTGAACTTCTGGGCTCAAGCAGTACTCCCACTCCAGTCTCCTGAGTAGCTGGGACTACAGGTGTGCACCACCACCACGCTTGGCTAATTAAAAAAAAATATTTTTTTCTATGAACTCTGCAGAGAAGAAATTAATTTTTATTTATTTATTTATTTATTTATTTATTTATTTAGTAGAGATGGGGATCTCCCTGTGTTACCCAGGCTAGTCACGAACTCCTGGGCCCAAGTGATCCTCCCACCTAGGCCACCCAAAGTGCTGGGCTTACAGGTGTAAGCCACTATGCCTGGCCTCATTGGCCATTTGTATATCTTCTTTGGGGAAATATTTATTCAGATCCTTTGCCCATTTAAAAATTGGATTATTTGTCTTTTTATTGAATTGTATGTGTTCTTTATGTATATGCTAGATACAAAACTCTTATTAGATATATTACTTGCAAACATTGTCTCCCATTCTGTGCTTTTCGCTTTCTTAATAGTATCCTTTAAAGTGCAAAAGTTTTAATTTTGATGAAGACTAATTTATCTACATATTTTTTCTTTGGTTGCTTGTGCTTTGGGCATTATAGCTAAGAAACCATTGCAAGAGTTTGTATACTTTCAGCTATTATAGTCAGATCTTTGATACATTTTTAAGTTAATTTTTGTATGTCATGTGAGGTTTTTGGTTTGCTTTTACAAAATGTATTATGTATTTTTACTTAAAATACATCTTGGATATCTCTATCAGCCAGTAGATAACTGTCATTTTTAAGTCTGTGGATAAAAGAGCGTGTTACTTTGCCAACTTGTAAACTCCCCTTTCTGGAACGATACCTCTGCAAGTCTACCTGCCATCCCTGCTGTTTGTTCCTTATTCTGTAGACCCTGTTCAAAGCAGAACTCTAGACCAATTGCTTTCAGATTTGCTTTCCCTTTTAATAAGGCACCCATCTAATTTTGAGATGAAATAATACCCTTCTTGGAACATTCAGTGACTCCTTGGAATTCATATAATAAAATGCAATTAGGGAGGGGGCACAATCTGAAATAGATCTGCCCTTTCATACTCTTTAGACTATTACTCTGTATTAGTCTGTTCTCGTACTGCTATAAAGAAATACCTGAGACTGGGTAATTTATAAAGAAGAGGTTTAATTGGCTCACAGTTCTGCAGGCTGTACAGGAAGCATGGTGGCACTTCTGCTTCTGGGGAAGCCCCAGGAAACCTACAATCATGGTGGAAGGCGAAAGGGAGGCAGAGACATCTTACATGGCAGAAGCAAGAGCAAGAGTGGGGAGGTGCTACACACTTTTAAAACAACCAGATTTCATAACTCCTCATTCACTTGCCATCACCAGAACAGCACAAAGAGGATGGTGCTAAAGGCTAAAGCTTTCATGAGAACTCCACCCCCATGATCCAGTCACCTCCCACCAGGCCCCACCTCCAACACTGGGGATTGCAATTCAACATGAGATTTGGGTGGGGACACAAATCGAAACCATATCACTCTGATAGTTTCAAGGAATATTTTTGTTGCTTTTCATTGACTTTCCAATTTATGATCCTTACTGACTTTACTACTTGGAATTCTCTTACAAAATCTGTTTTTCACTGTTTATCCACCTTGCAATTAATAAAAGTGTCCTGTTTCACAAAATGATTAAAATTATCTATAATTTTCTCACTTAACAATATGTCTCCCTCACATTATGCTTTCCTTTCCACTTTGTTTGTTTGTTTGTTTGCTTATTTGAGACAGGGTCTTGCTGTGTCACCCAGGGTGGAGTACAGTGGCACAATCACGGCTCACTGCAGTCTCCGCCTCACGAGTTCAAGCGATTCTCCTGCTTCAGCCTCCTGAGTAGCTGGGATTACAGGCATATACCACCGCACCGGCTAATTTTTGTATTTTTAGTAGAGATGGGGTTTTACCATGTTGGCCAGGCTAGTCTTGATCTCCTGACCTCAAGTGATCTGCCTGCCTCAGTCTCCCAAAGTGCTGGGATTAGAGGCATGAGCTACCACGCCCAGCCTCCCTTCCACTTTAGTTATTATTATTATTTTTAAAATAGAGTCTTGCTCTGTCACCCAGGCTGAAGTGCAGTGGCATGACTTTGGCTCACTGCAACCTCCACCTCCCAGATTCAAGCAATTCTCCTGCCTCAGCCTCCTAAGCAGCTGGAGTTACAAGTGCGCACCACCACACCCAGCTAATTTTTGCATTTTTAGTAGAGATGGGGTTTCAACATGTTGGCCCGGCTGGTCTCAAACTCCTGACCTCAAGTGATCCGCCCACCTCGGCCTCCCAAAGTGCTGGGATTTTAGGCATGGGCCACACGCCCAGCCAAATGAGGAATCTTGAGAAAACTTGGCAATGATATAGTTCTATACATTGCTGCTGTTTTTCATTCCCTTTTCTACCCCCTTCTTTTCCCTACATCATTCTTCATTCTATTTCCATTTTACATGACAAATTTTGTTACTTATTTAATTATTCCCAGACTGACATTTGAGATAACAGTAAGAAAACCTTATTTTTAGTGTTATGTTTCCCTTCTAGTGGACTAATACTTTCCTTAGGTGCCTTACCCTTCTTTTAAGCACACGGCAATAAGAACAGTTTTCTCAGCCAGTCATGTTGGCTCATGCTTGTAATCTCACCACTTTGGGAGGCCAAGGTGGGTGGATCGCTTGAGCCCAGGAGTTCAAGACCAGCCTGGACAACAAAATAATACCCAGTTACTAAAAAAAAAATTTTTTTTTCCTTCTAGAAAGCATTTAAGTTACCTTATGCATTTCAAGAACAAATAATTCCTAATAAATGTTTTAAATTGACCTTATTCCATATTTTGAGCGATTGATTTCTATCCATGCACACCTGCTTACCATTTCCTCCACTCAATTTGTATATAGCTTCCTGTCCAGTATAGTTTTCACTAGCTACATGTGGGTATTTAAATGTAAATTTGTTAAAATTAAATGAATTTAAAAATTCATTTTCTCAGTTACACTAACCACATTTCACATACTCATTAGCCACATAAAGCTGATGGGTACTACAGTTGACAGTGCAGACACAGAATTCCTTCATCATCACAGAAAGTTTTATTTACTGGCACTGCTACACTGTTTGACTTATTCCTACTTGCGGGGCTGACATTTGAAATTATTGTAAACCATTCCCTGTTTAATAAACTTATTTTTTTTTTTTGAGACAGAGTCTCACTTAGTCACCCAGGCTGGAGTGCAGTGGCACGATCTTAGCTCACTGCAGCCTCCGCCTCCTGGGTTCAAGCGAGTCTCATTCCTCAGCCTCCCGAGTAGCTGGGACTACAGGCATGTGCCACCATGCCCGGCTAATTTTTGTATTTTTAGTAGAGATGGGGTTTCACCATGTTGGCCAGGCTGGTCTTGAACTCCTGACCTCAAGTGATCTGCCCACACCGTCCTCCCAAAGTGCTGGGATTACAGGTGTGAGCCACTGCATCTGGCCTATAAACTTATCTTTGATGGACTCTTGTTAGTGGTCATTGTTGCAGAAATCTTGCAATGCCCCATAGAAGTGTTTTGTATTTTTGTTTGTTTTAAAGAGATGGGGGTCTCTCTATGTTGCTTAGGCTGTACTAACTCCTGGGCTCAATGAATCCTCCTGCCTCAGCCTTCCAAGTAGCTGGGACTACAGGAGTGCAATACTGTGCTTGGGAGAAGTTTTAAAATTGTTTTTGGCAGTTTTGTGTGGCAAATATAAAAGTCATTTTAAGCTGAAATATTTTAAGTCAGCATCCTATTTATGTTTTAAACACATAATATATTCACATGATAATTTTAAGTAAGAATAAAGAATATACGGTGAAAAGTAAATCTTCTCATGTCTTCCTCTCAGTTGTCCTTGGAGAGAGGCATGTACTAAAACAAGGTTCTTTGTGTGTTCTTCTAGATTTTTTATCTTATAAGCATATGTGTGCCTGTCTTCACTTTTGAAAATGTAAGTGGTAGCATCCTATGCATACTTTTTATCGTGTGTGTGTGTGTCAGGTCTTAAGTCTAGATGATTTGTGTTTTTACATTCATGTATTTTGGAAATTATTCCATGTGGGTACCCGTAAATCTGCCTTATTTTTATTGCATAGTATTTCATTATATAGGTGTATTTTAACTTATCTACTCATCTTCTATTGAACATTTAGGCTGATTCTAACATTTTACTATTGCCAAATAGATTACAATGAGTATCTTTATTTTTGCAAATGTGCAAGTATAGCAATATGAGTAGTAGTACTGGGAGAGCACAGGTCTGTGCTTTTTAAGACTTTGATAGATTCTGCCAAATTGCCCTCCCTAAAGACTGTTCCAAATTACACATTTACCTACAGTGTATGAGAATGTCTGTTTCTCTGTCCCTCATCATTACGGCTTATCATAAAACTCATTGTAGAGCAGTATTATTAAAGATTGTAATAAAAAGTTTATTTTATTAAATTTTGGCTGGGTGTGGTAGTGCATGTCTGTAGTCCTAGCTACCCCGGAGGCTGAGGCGGGAGGATGGCTTGAGCCTGGGAGGTTGAGGCTGCACTATGTTGCCCAGGCTGGCCTTGAACTCCTGGGCTCAAGTGATCCTTCTGCCTCGGCCTCTGAAAGTGTGGGGATTACAGGCATCAGCCACTGCACCCACCCGGTAATGTACTTTCTATAATGGAAATAAATTAAGAGCTTTGAGTGTAGCTATTCTGAGTTGCAAACTTATCTGTATACTTTGGATAAAAATATCTGAGCTAACATGTACTAAGAAACCTGAGCTTACTTGGAAGACTGCTTCACTTTTGCATGAAGTTAGACCCTAAGGTAATCAGAGCAATCTATAAGAATAACTTTTCTATGCATTAGTAATAAGTTGTCACAAAAAGTAAGAGAAAAAATATCCCATCCACAGTAGCACAGAGGTATAAAATATCTAAGAATAGGCCAGGCGCACTGGCTCATGCCTGTAATCCCAGGACTTTGGGAGGCCGAGATTAGTGGATCGCTTGAGGCTAGGAGTTGGAGACCAGCCTGGCCAACATGGCGAAAACCTGTCTCCACTAAAAATACAAAAATTAGCCAAGCACAGTGGCGTGTGCCTGTAGTCCCAGCCACTCAGGAGGCTAAGGCACAAGAATCGCTTCAACCCAGGAGGTGGAGATTGCAGTGAGCTGAGATTGTGCCACTGCACTCCATCCTGGGTGACAGAGTGAGACTCTGTCTCAAAAAAATAAAATATTTAAGAATAAAGCCACATGAGATATGAAAGCATGAAAGGCAGAATATTATAAACTACATGACCTCAAACCCTTGTACTGCAAAAGCTTAGAAATACTGACCAAATATAACAAATATCCCATTAAGGATATAATTTAGCTCCCAAGAAAGTAAGGCGGCTCTCCCTTGGGCTAAAATGGAAAACAATTTAAAAACCAGAGTAGAAAGTAGAACTAATGCTTTAAGAACATGAGAGTTGGTGGAGGAGCAGTTGTTAATGACGTGTTACTCCTAGTGGAATAGCCTCCCACCCCCTAATAAATAGCCCAGCTAATTTATGCCATTACATACACCTAGATTTTAGTTCCAGACCTTGAGCTGTGGGACCTTGGGCAAGGCCTCTTTGAATTCCAGGTTTCTCACCTGCAAAATGGGGAAACAATAGTACCCACCTTTTCTGGTGGCTGTATAGGTTAAGTTAAATGGAAATAACACACAATATATTGAGTGCTAACTGTGTTCCAGGGCAGTGCCCTAAGTGGTATGTATAAATTCACTTCTCTTCATAAGGTGGACTGAATTGTGATGCCCTCCACCAAATCCCTATGTTGAAACCCCAGCTCCCAATGTGATGGTATTTGTAGATGAGGCCTTTTGGAGGTCATTTGGTTTAGATAAGGTCATGAGGGTAGGGCCTTCATGATGGGGTTAGTACCCTTATAAGAACAGCACCAGGCAGTTTGTACTCCTTTCCCGGTCTCCCCTGCATCTGGTATCAGGACACAGTGAGAGCGCAGCCATCTGCAAGCCAGGAAGTATGAGCCCTTACTGAGGAACAAAATCGGCTGGCATCTTGATCTTGGACTTTACAGCCTCCAGAACTGTGAGAAATAAATTATTGTTGTTTAAGCCATTCAATCTATGGTGTCTTATTAAGGCAGCCTGACCTAATACATAAGGCAGCAAAGGCATTCTTACCATAAAGGCATAGGTTATAATGGCTTCCTGGTGACAAGAGACAAGGTGATGAGTCAGGTAGCTGGAAATAAGATCCTTGCTTCCATAAAGCTAGGATTCTCAAAGGGTCATATGCTCAGTTAAAGCCTGGCCTAGAAAATATTCACAGGAAGATGAAAAGCAAGTTTATTCATCTTAGTCTGAGTTCTGGGTGGATGGGGGAAAAAGTGTCTGACTTGAGTATTCATAACCAGAGGCTTGTGCTCATGAAAGTCTGAGATTCAAATTTGTTTAATTTACATGGTTCAGCAATCCCTAAGCCAGTAAGCTACCCCAAAAAGACAGTCCAAAGCTAGAAAACAACTTTGGGCCACACTCTCACATCAGGTTACACAAATTTCTGTGGATACAGCTACACTTTACATGAGTTCATAATGCAAAATTATAAAACCTACAAAAAAAATAGCCAACCAGAGTGTCATGATACATGACGTAGAACATAATCAGACCTTCATTAACTGGTGATAGCAGACTGAGTATAAATCAAAATGAGTATGAAATGATTATAGACATTTAAAAAGGAATCGAAAAAGAAAGGGATACTATATTTAGAAAAAAGACCAGGCTGGGCATGGTGGCTCACGCATATAATCCCAGCACTTTGGGAGGTGGAGATGAGTGGATCACCTGAGGTCAGGAGTTGGTGACCATCCTGACTAACACAATAAAACCCCTTTTCTACTAAAAATACAAAAATAGCTGGGTGTAGTGGTGCATGCCTGTAATCCCAGCTACTGAGTAGGCTGAGGCAGGAGAATCACTTGAACCCTGGAGGCAGAGGTTGCAGTGAGTGGAGATCGCACCACTGTATTCCAGCCTAGGCAACAGAACAAGACTCTGTCTCAAAAACAAACAAACAATCAACAACAACAACAAGAACAAAACAAAAGAAACTAGGTATATTTGAAAAAGAACCAAAAAGAAAAACTCAAGGGAAAAGTTAAACAAGTGAAGAGTATTATTGAATTTTTGAATGTATACTAGAAAGAAATTACCCATTATGTAACAGAGGGAGAAAGAGAGAGGCTGAGTGACATTGCAGATAAAATGAGAAAGTCCAACATAGTTAATAGAAGTTCTCTAGGGGGGAAAAAGGAGAGGAGAGGAGAGGCAATATTTAATGAGAAATGGCTGGACTTCATGAAGTTAATTGGAAGAAAAGACAGATTATCTACAAAGGAATGACAGATTAAGACCGTAATAGTAACAATAGAGATCCTGAGAGAAATTACTATCTAGAATTTTTTTACTAGCTAAATTATTCAAAATTGAAAGTAAAATAGACATTTCAGACAAAAATGTGAGAATGTAAGCTCAGTGATGAAAGGGATTTTTCTTTCTCCACTGCTGTATCTCTACTAACTTGAACAATCCTTGGCACATAGTAGGCATTTAGTAAGTATTTGTTGAATAAGTGAAAAATTGAACAGTCTCTCACAGTTGCTTCTGGAAGAGGGAAATTGAAATGAGAAGGAAGGATTGAGATACAAGAAAGACTATTGAGTAGAACAGTTGTTAAACATGAGTAAATGTAAATAAATATACTTTAGTGGTGGCTCATGCCTATCATCCCAACACTTTGGAAGGCTGGGGTGGGAGGATCACTTGAGGTCAAGAGTTTGAGACCAGCCTGGGCAACATAGACCCTGTTTCTACAAAAAATTTAAAAAATTAGCTAGGTGTGGTGGCACACGCCTGTAATCCCAGCTACTGGGGAGTCTGAGGTGGGAGGATTATTTGAGCCCAGGAGGTCAAGGCGGCAGTCAGCCATGATCTCACCACTGTACTCCAGCCTGGGTGACAGAGTGAGACTGTCTCAAAAACAAACCAAAAATAAATAAATATACTTTATAAAACTACTATAATTTTAATTATGTCTAATATGTTACAGTTTTACAAACAAGATGGAAATAAAGTTCCTGACAACAATAGGATGTAAAGCAGAAAGTAGAGATTGTAGTTAAAGTAGTCTAAGGTTGTGTTTTTTTTCTGGGAAGAATTTAGAGATGTGGTTTAGTTAAAATTCAGATGTAATAAATTTCAAGGATAGGGTTTTTATTTTCTGGAATGTGATAAACTAGTTTTCTGAGGAAACTATTCTCATTCTAGTACACCTGAATATGCTATTGACAGGGACAAAATGAGCAATTTTTTTCCTACATAGTTGAATTATTGGAAGGCCAGAAACAATAAGAAAACATGAGCAGGTGCTAAAGCCAGCATTTGCCTGTTAGTATCTTCTGATTCCTGGTGTCTCTGAGCCGGAGTTTTAATCGTAATAGAGGGAACTTTCCCTAACTTACTTTATGATGATAGTAATTTAATATTACTATCACCAGACAATAACATTTTTGTAAATAAATACTAAGGCCATTTTCAAGCCTAAATAAAGGACCAAAAGTCCTAAAGACATTGTTAAAATGTATTTAGCTTCATATAAACCAATAATACAGCATTATCAAGTTAAGTTGATTTTAGGAATAAAAGAGTGGTTTATCATCTGAAAATATGTTAATGTATTGTATCTGTTAATCATCTAAAATCTGTAGCATTAACAGACTAAAGAGGAAACATCCTTGGATCATCTCAACAGATGCAGAAAAAGCATTTGATAAAATTCAGTAAGCATTCATGATAAAAATTCATGGTAAATTCAAAAGGGACCTTTCTTTTCTGGACCAGGATGGATTGTTCTGTATTGCTCCTGCTAAGTATAGCTCAAAACCCTGGACACTGTATGTAAAACAAACATAGGAAGAATTTGAAAGGTAAAGAGAAGACGACAGACCAGCTAGGGGTTTCACGACCCATGGAATGACATAGCAGTGAGTTCCCTGGACTTGCTTGATTGTTTATTTGCCTCATATAACGTAAGTGTTGGATCAACTGGCAACTTAGTCAGAAATGGCAATGGGAACATACACCCCAAGAAAGCCAAAAACAGCCTTTTCTCTTTAAAAGATGGTGAAAGAGGAAACATAGCAAGACAGAAACTTTTGGACAATAACCACGCTACTCTAGCCACATGCCATGGAAAGACCATGGCTCCTCCCCTTCGCTAACTCCTGTTAACCCCTGTTAATGATAGATAAAAGGTGTAGAAATTTGAAAAATATTTAATCCACAGGAAGGCAGGAAAAAGAAAACGGAAAATAGAAAATAAAATGTCAGACTTAAGCCCTAACATTTTAATAATTACGTTAAATGTAAATAGTCTAAACACACAAATTTAAAGACAGTTGGCATATTGGATATAAAAACATAATCCAACTATGTGAGTGATACATTCAACAACTTGGCATTATGCTGAGTGGAAAAAAAACAATCTCATAAGGTCATATTCTGTGTGATTCTCTGGGTATAACATTCTGCAAATGACAAAATGATGGAGATGGAGAGCAGATTAATGGTTCCAATGGTTTGGGATGATGAGGGAGGGTGTAGATATGACTATAAAGTGGTAGCAAGAGGGAGATCTTCGTGTTGATGGAATAGTTTTATATCTTGATTGTGGCAATAGTAACATGGGTCTACATATGTGATAAATAGCACAGAACTACGCACACACATCAGGTTTTTTCTTTTTGATATTGTACTATAGTTATGTAAGATTTAACTATTGTTGGGAACTAGGTGAAGGGTACATAGGACCTCTCTACTATTTTTGCAACTCCCTCTGATTATTTCAAAATAAGCTTTAAAGAAACCTATAGCAAACATCATACTCAAAATTGATTTATTAAAAGTATTTTCTTTAAAGTCAGGAACAATACAAGGATGCCTACTATCATTTCTTGTTTGTTTGTTTTTTTTGTTTTTTTTTTTTTTGAGACAGAGTCTCTGTCACCCAGGCTGGAGTGCAGTGGCGTGATCTCAGCTCACTGCAAGCTCCGCCTCCTGGGTTCACGCCATTGTCCTGCCTCAGCCTCCCGAGTAGCTGGGACTACAGGGGCGTGCCACCACGTCCGGCTAATTTTTTTGTATTTTTAGTAGAGACGGGGTTTCACTGTGTTAGCCAGGATGGTCTCGATCTCCTGACCTCGTGATCCGCCCGCCTCGGCCTCCCAAAGTGCTGGGATTACAGGCGTGAGCCACTGTGCCCGGCGCCTACTATCATTTCTTACATTCAATAGTTTACAGGCAGTCCTATTCTATGCAATAAGATCAGAAAATAATTAAGGCTGGGTGCGGTGGCTTACACCTATAATCCCAGCACTTTCAGAGGCTGAGGAGGGAGGACCACTTGAGCTTGAAAGTTTGAGACCAGCCTGAGCAATATAATGAGACCTTGTCTCTATAAAAAATAAAAAAATTAGCCAGGCGTGGTGGCAGGTACCTAGTCTTAGCTACTCAGGAGCCTGAGCCCTGGAGGTGGAGGCTGCAGTGAGCTGTGTTTGCACCACTGCACTTCAGCCTGGATGACACAGCAAAACCCTCAAAAAAAAAAGATTTTAGGCGTGGAAAGAGAAAAAATTATAACCTGTAAGGGAGTCTAGGCAATGAGTACCTGGCATTTTTACTTTCTATTATATATTGTGAGATAGGCTCTTTCTCTCACCAGGTTTTCTCTGAAACTGATGATTTCTAATCCTAAGAGCCAAGGGAAAAGAGTAACAAAAACAATAACATGTCCACACACTGGAAAACTTATCAGTGAAAAATATACTTCATGGGATGGCAAGAAGCAACATAGGATTGTAGTTGACATGCAGCTACTATTATTATATTATTATGATTATTAATTTTACTCTTCAAGACTCTTATTTGGTGTGAGTCTAGATCTGTTAGAAGGTCACTGATGAAAAAGGATGTGTGGGTGTCCAAGCTGATCTGATTCATACAGCTCAATATATTTATTTATTAATTTTGAGACAGGGTCTGGCTCTGTCACCCAGACTAGAGTGCAGTGGCATGATCAAGGCTCACGGCAACCTCTGCCTCCCAGGCTCCATTTTTATTTATTATTATTATTTTTAATTAATTAATTAATTTTTTGTAGAGACAGAGCCTCACCGTGTTTCCCAGGCTCATCTCAGGCTCCTGGCCTGAAGGAGTTCTCCCACCTTGACCTTGAAAAGTATTGGGATTATAGCCGTGAGCCACCGCGTCTGGTTAAGTGGTTAATTTAGAAATGTGCAGAGTTAATGTTCGTGTTTTTCTTTTTCTTTTCTCTTTTTTCTTTTTGAGATGGAGTTTCGCTCTTGTTGCCCAGGCTGGAGTGCAATGGTGCAATCTTGGCTCACTGCAGCCTCTGCTTCCCGGGTTCAAGTGATTCTCCTGCCTCAGCCTCCTGAGTAGCTGGGATTACAGGCATGCACCACCACGCCTGGCTAATTTTGTATTTTTAGTAGAGATGGGGTTTCTCCATGTTGGTCAGGCTGGCCTTGAACTCCCAACCTCGGGTGATCTGCCTGCCTCGGCCTCCCAAAGTGCTGGGATTACAGGCGTGAGCCACTGTGCCCGGCCAGTGTTCGTGTTTATTTTTCATAGCGTTAAGGAACTGGGTGAGAATCAAAATCTGGAGGAGAGTTTAGAGTTTTCTTCATGGTTAAATTTAAAAAATTCTATAGAACAAATATATTTAGTGTGTGTAGGCCGATGGCGTTAGATTTCCATACACTCAACATTGGGGAGAAACCTCATTGGCAGTGGAGTGGCTGGTGGTACCAGCTGGGGGTCCCTTCTTTGGTCCTTTGAGTGCAGAGTCTTTGCCCTGGTTGTTCCCTGCTTTCACTATTAGGAGAAGCCACTTGACTCATGGCTGGCAGATAGCACACCAGTTTCAGTACCTTGCTAAATTTATAGAAAACCAGTGTATTAAACAGCGAGGTATAGATAGAAACTGTTTTCCAACAGTGGGTATTTGAATATTAAGTAGTAGTAAATTAGCCAGGTGTGGTGGCACACACCTGTGGTCCTAGCTACTTGGGAGGCTAAGGCAGGAGGATTGCTTGAACCCTGGAGGTCAAGGCTGCAGTGAGCCATGATTATACCACTGCACTCCAGCCTGGGTGACAGAGCAAGACCCTGTGTCCAAAAAAAAAAAAAAAAAAGTAAAGACATTGTTTTCTTTAAATTTTCAAACTTCTAAAAAAGAACAGAGAATAATATATTGCATACCCATGTAGTTGCCACCTTAATTTAACAAATGTTAATGATTTGTTACATTAGTCAAGATTAAAAAAATGGTGTACAGTGGATAAAGTTGAAATTTTCTTTACTGTCTCAATCTCTCTTTCCCAAGCTGTAGTCACTCTCAAAGTTGGTGTGCATTCCTTCCTTTTAGGGTTATTATTATTCTAAAATGTGTGCATATGTCTATTTGTCTATCATGCAGATATTCATTCTCTTATTTTTTTCTGAACGTTTTAAAGCTTTAGTGTCACATTTAGATGTTTAATCCATTTATAATTCATAATTGTGTTAGCATGAGGTAAGGGCTTAATTTTGTCTTTTTGTATGAATAACTCATCATTACTAGTTTTGTCTTTAGCAGAGTTTGTTTATGCAGGTATAAGCAAATATGAATATATATTTTTATTTGTTCCCCTTATTTTGTATTCTTTAATTTTTAATTTTGGGGTATATAATACATGTATATACTTATAGGGTACATGAGATATTTTGTTAAAGGCATACAGTGCTTAATCACATTAGGGTAAATGGGGTATCTATCACCTCAACCATTTATCCTTTATTTGTTTAACAATCTAATTATATACTCTTAGTTATTTTAAAATGTACAATAAATTATTATTGACTGTAGTCCCCCTGTTGTGCTATCACATACTAGATCTTATTTATTCTAACTATATTTTTATACCCATTAATCATCCCCACTTCCCCCCCAACTACTCTTTCTAGTAGCTTCTGTTATTGGTAGTTCTACTGTTTCCATGAGTTCAATTGTTTTAATTTTTAGCTCCCACAAATAAGCGAGAGCATGTGAAGTTTGTCTTTCTGTGCCTGGTATAGTTCACATAACACAATGACCTCCAGTTCCATCCATGTTGTTGCAAGTGACAGGATGTCATTCTTTTTTGTGGCTGAATAGTACTCCATTGTGTATATGTAGCACATTTTTGTTATGATGAACACTTAAGTTGCTTCCAAATCTTGGCTATTGTGAAATGGTGCTTCAATAAATGTGGGAGTGCAGATTTACTGATTTCCTTTTTTGGGGTATATACCTAGCATTGGGATTGCAGGATCATATCGTAGCTCTATTTTTAGTCTTTTGAGAAACCTCCAAACTGTTCTCTATAGTGACTCTAATAATTATATTCCTGCCAACAGTGTACAAGGGTTCCCTTTCTCCACATCTTTGCCAGCATTTCTTATTGCTTGTCTTTTGGATAAAAGCCATTTTAACTGGGGTGAGATGATACCTCATAGTAGTTTTGATTTGCATTTTGCTGATGATCATTGATGTTTAACACCTTTTCATGTACTTGTTTGCCATTTGTGTGTCTGTCTTTTAAATTTTTATTTATTTATTTATTTTGAGACGTTATCTCACTCTGTCACCCAGGCTGGAGTGCGGTGGAGCAAATTCAGCTCACTGCGAACTCTGCCTCCCGATCTTAAGTGATCCTCCCACCTCAGCTTCCTGAGTAGCTGGGACCACAGGTGCATGCCACTATACCCAGCTGATTTTGTGTATTTTTGGTAAAGACGAGTTTTCACCATGTTGCCCAGGCTGGTCTGGAATTCCTGAGCTCAAGCAATCCACCTTCCTTGGCCTCTCATAGTGCTGGGATTACATGCGTGAGCCACCATGCCCGGCCTGTCCGTCTTGTTTTGACAAATATCTATTCAGGTCTTTTGCCTGTTTTTAAATTGGATTATTAGACTTTTTCCTATTGACTTGTCTGAGCTCCTTATATATTCTGGTTATTAATCACTTGTCAGAAGAATAGTTTGCAAATTACTTTTTCTCATTCTGTCGGTTGTCTCTTCACTTTGTTGATTGTTTTCTTTGCTGTGCTGAAGATATTTAACTTGATGTGATCCTATTTGTCCATTTTTGGTTTGATTGTCATGGGGTATTCAGATCATAGCACATTCAAATCATAGCACTTGTTTGTACATTTTTTTTCTTTTAAACTTCATGCATTTTGCATACAATTTAAGAAATCTAACCCAGGGTCACTAAGATTTTCTCCTATGTTTTCTTCCAGATATTTCATAGTTTTATCTCTCACATTTAGTTCTATTCCTGACTCATTTCAAGTTTTGCATATTGTGTACAGTAAGGATAAAATAAGCAAATATGTATATGCACTTGCATATGAATATCGAATTTTTCAGTACCATTGTTAAAAAGATTATCTTTTCCCTCAATTGAATTGCCTTGGCAATTTTGTTGAAAATCAGTTGACCCATATGTGTGTGGGTCTGTTTCTGAACTTTCTAATTTTTTCCATTGATCATTATGTCTTTTTATGCCAATACCACACTGTCTTGATTCCTGTATCTTTATAATATAACTTGAGATCAGGTAGTATAATTACTCCAACACCCTTTTTCCCCCAAAATGTTTTTTGGCTCTTCTGATCCTTTGCGTTTTCATATAAATTTTAAAACCAGCTTGTCAGTATCTAAAAAAAAATGCCTGCTAGAATTTTGATTGGGTTTGTCTTGAATATGTAGATTAATATGGGGAAAATTGTCATTTTAACAATAGTGAGTCTTCCAAACATTGACCATGGTATATCTCTTCATTTAGTTACTTCTTTGATTTCTCTCCTCAGTGTTTATAGTTTTTAACTTACAGGCCTTACATTTCTTTTGTTAAATCTATTCTAAGAATTTAATATTTTGGGGGGATGCTGTTGTACATAGCATTTTTTAAACAGGAAGAAATACATATAAATTTTATTATTACATGCACATGTGCGCATGGGAGTCAAGCAAGATATAAATATTCAGAGAAAGATAAGATGGTTCATGCTTGTATACCATCTTTTGGGGGCCAGATGGGAAGGCCATTTTTTGGATACATAATAACTGTACGTATTTATGAGGTACATGTGATATTTCTGTACATGCATACAATGTGTAATGATCAACCCAGGGTATTTAGGATATCCATCACCTAAAATATTTATCACTTCTTTGTGTTGGGAACATTTCAAATCTTTTCTTCTAGCTATTTTGAAATATGCAAATTATTGATAACTATAATCACCCCAGTCTGTGATCACACACTACAACGTATTCCTTCAATATAACTGTATGTATGCATTAACCAGCCTCTCTTCACCACCCTTCTCCCCCTTCCCAGCATCTGGTAGCCATCATTCTACTCTCTGCCTCCAGGAGATCTCCTTTATTTTAGCTCTCACATGAGTGAGAACATGCAAAATTTATCTTTCTGTGCCTAGCTTATTTCACTTAACATGATGCTATCCAGTTCCATCCATGTTGCTGCAAATGACAGGGTTTCATTCTTTTTATGGCTGAATAGTATTCCATTGTATATATATACCACATTTTCTTCATTTATTTGTTGATTGACACTTAGGTTGATTCTATACCTTGGCTATCATGAATAGTGCTGCAGTAAACATGGGGATGCTAATATCCCTTTGACATACTGACATCCTTTCCTTTGGATAAATACCCAGTAATGGGATTGCTGGATCATGTGGTAGTTCTGTTTTTGGTTTTTTGGGAAACCCCCATACTGTTTTCCATAAGGGCTGTACTAATTCACGTTCCTGTCCACAGTGTATATGAGTTCTCTTTTCTCTCCATCCAGGCCAGCATCTGTTATATTTTGTGGTTTTGGTGATAGCCATTCTAACTGGGGTGAGATGATAGCTCACTGTGGTTTTGATTTTAATTTTCCTGATGATTAGTACTCTTGAGCATTTTTTTCATATACATGTTGGCCATTCTTTTGAGAAATGTCTATTCAGATCCTTTGTCCACTTTTTAATGGGATTTTTTTTTTTGCTCTTGATTTGAGTTCCTTATATATTCTGGATATTAGTCCCTTGTTGGATGAATAGTTTGCAAATATTGTCTCCCATTCTGTAGTTTGTCTCTTTATTGATTGTTACTTTTGCGGTGCAAAGGCTTTTTAGTTTTATAGGGTCCCATTTGTCTATTTTTATTTATTTCTATGCATTTGAAGTCTTAGCCATAAAATCTTTGACTAGACTAATGTCCTGAAGTGTTTTCTTCTAGTAGTTTTAAAGTTTTGGGTCTTATATTTAACTCTTGAATTCATTTTGAGTTGATTTTTGTGATAGGTGCCCAGTTTCATTCTTCTGTAATATGGATATTCAGTTTTCCCAACACCATTTATTGAAGATATTATACTTTCCTCTGTGTTTTTCTGGTACGTTTGTTGAAAAATCAATTGGCTGTAAATACATGGATTTATTTCTGGGTTCTCTATTCTATTCCATTGGCTTGTGTCTCAGTTTTTATACCAGTAGTAACCTGCTTTGGTTACTATAGCTTTATGGTGTATTTTGAAGTCAGATAGCATGATACCTTCAGCTTTGTCCATTTTGCTCAGCATTGCTTTGACTATCCAGGGTCTTTTGTGGTTTATATGAATTTTAGGATTGTTGTTTCTATTTCTCTGATGAATAGCATTGGTATTTTGATAGGGATTGCATTTAATCTCTAGATTGCTTTGGATAATACAGTCATTTTAACAATATTCTTAGAGCCTATTTGCATAGTACGTTTTTCCATTTGTTTGTGTTCTCTTCAATTTCTCTCATCAGTGTTTTGTCATTTTTGTTGTAGAGGTCTTTCACCCTTGGTTAAATTTATTCCCAGGTATTGAATATTTTTTGTAGTAATTGTAAATGTGATTACTTTTTAAATTTCTTTTTCAGCTAGTTTATTATTACTGATTTTTGTAGTTGATTTTGTATTATGCAACTTTACTGAATATATTGATCAGATCTAGAGTTAAAAACAAACAGTGGAGTCTTTAGGTTTTTCTATATATAAGATCATGTCATGTGCAAAGAGGGACAATTTGGCTTCCTCTTTTCCAGTGTGGTTGCCTTGGATTTCTTTCTCTTGCCTGATTGCTCTGGCTAGGACTCCCAGTACTAAGTTGAATGAGAGTTGTGAAAGTGGGGCATTGTCTACTAAGCCAGACAATGGCAGAACAAAAAAATAAAACTACAGGCAAATACTCCTGATAAACACAGATGCAAAAATCGTCAACAAAATACTAGCAAACCAAATCAAGTAATATATCAAAAAGATAATATACCATGATCAAGGGGGATTTATCCCAGGGATGCAATGATGGTTCCACATATGCAAATCAATAAATGCGATACATCACATCAACAGAATGAAGAACAAAAACTGTTAAGATCATCTCAATAGACATAGAAAAGGCGTTTGATAAAATTCAACATCCCTTCATCATAAAAAAAAAAACTCTCAAAAAATTACACATTAAAGGAACATACCTCAACACAGTAGAGGTCGTATGTGACAAACCCATAGCTTACATCCTACTGAATGGGGAAAAGTTGAAAGCCTTTCCTCTAAGAACTGGAAAAACACAAGAACCCATATTTATTGTGTTCTTGTTTGTTGTTGTTGTTATTTTGAGACAGGGTCTCACTCTGTCACCCCCGCTGGAGTGTGGTGGTGCTATCTCAGCTCACTTCAACCTCTGCCTCCCAGGCTCAAGCGAGTCTCCCACCCCAGCCCCCCGAGTAGCTAGGATGACAGGCATGTGCCACTACACCCAGCTAATTTTTGTATTTTTAGTAGAGATGGGGTTTCCCATGTTGGCCAAGCTGGTCTCGAATTCCTTAAGTGATCCACCCACTTTGGCCTCCCAAAGTGCTGGGATTACAGGTGTGAGCCACCATGCCCGGCTGAATGTTTCTTTTCTTCTTATATTGATATTTGTGTATGTGTTATAACAATTCCTTCTTTTAATGTTATGGAGTGGCTTTTTTAGGGAAAGACTTTTTTTCTGTAGATGTATCTATATTGTTGCTGGGGAAAGGTGTTTTGGCTTTGATTCTGGGTGGGTGCAGTAGTGTAGTCTCCGTATGATTTCTTCACCTTTACTCGGACTAGTTTCTTGGCTTCTCAGTGGTGTAGGCTATAATTGTTGGCGGAGGCTGTGACAAGACTTTGCTGGGGACTGATATGCCAGATGGGCTGGTCCTCTGGAATCAGTAGTAGCAGTGGCATTCTAGGAATGCCAGTCTTTGGGCTCCCTTGGGCCTCCAGGTGGTATGCTTGGGTGCTGGCAGTGCCAGTGGCTGACCAAGTGGGTGGGTCCTTGGATCCCCGCGGTGACGTGTGAGGAGTTGACAGTGGTGGCAGCAGTGGTGCGCCAGTCCTTGCACCACTCAGCAGCATGTGTGGCTTTTAGTGGTGGGAGCAGGCTTGATAAGCTAGTCCCTAGACCTCCAGGAGGCATGCAGTGATGGGTGGCACTGGTGGTAGGATAGGCTAGGTTTTGCTCTGGAGAACTGTCCTGCATACTGTAGAATGTTTACCAGCATCCCTGTTCTTTAGCCAGTAAATGCCAGTAACATCACATGGGAACTTGTTAGAAATACAGTTTCACAGGCCCTGCTGCACTGCACTGAGTCTAGAAACTAAGGTGATGTGGCCCAGCATTCTGTGCTTTAACAGCCCTCAGGTGATTCTAATGTATGCTCAAGCTTGAAATTCCACTGCCTTGGTAGATTGCAAGGTTCCCCCTGCCCCCAGAAAGAACCTGTATTAGTCAAGGTTCTCTAAAGGGACAGAACTGATAGGGTGTGTGTGTGTGTGTGTATGTGTGTGTGTGAGTGCACATATACATATATGCACACACACACATATCTATATATGAGAGTTTATTAGGAGAATTGACTCATATCATCACAAGGTGAAGTCCCACACTAGGCCATCTGCAAACTGCGGAGCTGGGAAGCCAGTCCGAGTCCCAAAACCTCAGAAGTAGGGAAGCCGACAGTGCAGCCTTCAGTCTGTGGTCAAAGGCCCGAGAGCCCCTGGCAAAGCACAGGTGTAAGACCAAGAGTCCAAAAGCTGAAGAACTTGGATGTTCAAGGGCAGGAATCATCCAGCATGGGAGAAAGATGGAGGCCAGAGGACTCAGGTCTGTCTTCTCCTTCCGCGTTCCTCTGCCTGCTTTTATCCTAGTTGTGCTGTCAGCTGATTAAATGGTACCCACCCAGGTTGAGGGTGGGTCTGTCTCTCCCAGTCCACTGACTGAAACATTAATCTCCTTTGGCAACACCCTTACAGACACAGCCAGGAACAATACTTTGCATCCTTCACATGCAATCAAGTGGCACTCAATAGAGTGTCACATTACAGAACCATTATTATCACTATATCGTTGACTAGCATAATGGCAAATTTATGCTTATTGACCAATTAGTAATTGCAGAGCTTAATCTTTTTAAGGTAGCTTTAGCCAGGCTATTCAGAGAGATGTGTATGTACTTTCTACACATTTGTGAAAAAGAACACCAGTTGGGAAGAGGATTTGAACTGAAATGGGACTACAAAAGGTAGTCTCCAGTGAGAGACAGACTTTGTTTCAATAAAAAGAATAGATTTTAGTAAAATCCTGTCTGAAAATGGAGAGGACGTGTGAAAGGTACAGAATGACCCATCTCTTAGAAGTATTAAGCAGGACTTGGATGTTAGTTAAGGTGAAGCTTTCAGTAGTAATGCAGGATAAGGAGAATGGCAGACGTATACTCTTAAGCATCCTTTCCAGGTTTTGTGTTTTAGGGTTTTCTTCACCTTTTTTTTTCTCCTGTGGCACGTAGCTCTAATCTTCTTTGATAGCTACTTGGTGCTTTCTGAGATTTAGCAGTTTTCCTGCATGTATGGTCTTTGACCTTTCCCAGGAGTTGGCATGTGCACTCCAGTGTGGGATTCTTTCCTGTGTAGTTCTCTACTGCCTTTGGAAACAGCGCTTTGTGATTACATTGACAGGAGCTCCTCTTACTATCTGCTTATTTTCAGAAAGAAGTTATTTCTCATTCTTGTTTTAAAGGTTATTATCTAGATCTGGCCTGTTATGCTCTTCTTTTGGTGTGAACAGAATAGAGGGGATTTCTATGCTAGGTTTTAAATAAGGAACATTTGTAACTTAAACTTTCAGAAGATATCTCACATGAAACTGGCTGCCTGCCACAGGAGTAACTTAGATCTCTCCACCTTGTTGTCAGGAGCCTGGAACAGAGATTTTTGCATTGGATATGAGATCAGATTGACTTTTAAGGTCTCGTCTGACTCTTTGCCTTTCAAGTTTTGATCAGAAGTCTCAGCTTTTTTTCTCCAGGTTTAGATTTAACAATCTAAACCTAGTTCTAACATTGGTATGTAGTGCCTAATAAATGTTGCTTAAGTAAAATGAACTTGGAAACATTCTTCATGGTATCCTCTTTTTTCTCTTGCAGTTAAAAGGGCCAAATTCCAGGGTTCACCAGGTAAGGCCAGCTTTCTATTATGTCTTTTCCTCTTGTATTTGCTGTTATTTCAAAGCAATTTAAAAAAATTATTAATTCATTGATCAAATTCAGTAATTTGATTCATTACTTCACTAAATTAATTCATGAAATCATTAATCTAGTGAAAAATTAGTTTTCTTACCTCTTGGCTAACCCAATTCTACTTCTCAATAATAACTATATATTTAGAGGTTTTGATATACCTTTTCCGACTTTTTCTCAGAAAAAAGTCTGAAATAGTGTAAAAGGATAAATATTGACAATTAGTGGAAACAATTTTTTTTTTTTTACTTTAAGTTCTAGGGTACATGTGCACAACGTGCAGGTTTGTTACATAGGTATACATGTGCCATGTTGGTTTGCTGCACCCATTAACTCGTCATTTACATTAGGTATTTCTCCTAATGCTATCCCTCCCCCCGTCCCCCACCCCACGACAGGCCCCAGTGTGTAGTGGATAAATATTGAAATATCAGTGTATCATGTCTTGCAGTTCATGAACCTGTTTCAGCTTGAGAGTGTGTGTATATGTATCTATTGGGTCATATATAAAATTTCTTAAAATTTAAAATATTCAAATAGACCATGTGAAACATATCTTATGCAACCTGCTTTTCCCCCAGCAACACATCATGAAAGTGTGTGTGTGTGTGTGTGTGTGTGTGTGTGTGTGTGTGTGTGTGTATGTGTGTGTCTGGTTCGTTCTTTTAAGGTGCTGTACAGAATTTTGTTGTAGATTTGTACCCTGATTAATAGGTCCCTGATTGATTAATACTTGATTAATATTTAGGTTCCCAAGTTTTTGCTATTACAAATAATAAATGTTCTTGTGCACTTCTCATTGCTTGCTTTTGCAAATGTGTCTATGTACTAGATTCAGAAGTAGAATTGCTGGGTCAAAAGTGTATATATATTTTTAAAAATTTGGTAACTCCTGCCAAATTGTTCTCTTGCAAGTTTTTACTATATATACCGAGACCAAAAGTTTATGAACATTTATTTTCCCAAATCCTTATCAACATTTGATATGAAACTTTAAAATCTCTGTCCATCTGAAGATTAAAAATGGTATTTCCTTATTTTAATGTGCATTTCCTCAATTTTGATTGTCACATTAGGAAGACTTCCTCTGGTTACTGCTGGGGAAGGAGGGAGGGGAGCTGGAGGGTTACTGGAAATATATGAATACGCTTGAGAACCCAGGAAAACCTGAAAAACTGGACCTTGGGTGCAACAGTAATGAAAGCAGTTTCTGAGCAGTTTCTTGTTTTAAAGGTTATTATCTTTTTGTCTCTGCTGGCTCTTTTTTTCTGAGAATCTGCTCTGTTGTTTCTCTCCCAGCTGGTTTTCTATGCTTACCCATCTTGTACCCATAATAGCTGCCTCAGTGGAATTTATACCCCTTCCTTTTAGCTTCAGCACCAACCACCAATTGTCAATATTTATCTTTTTACCCTATTTAAAATCTTTTGAGAGGGAATCAGGTTTGTTTCAGCTTTTGGCCAGCTCATGGATTGGCTGCTCTTGGGTTATTTACTCTTGGTCTGGTCAGCTATGTGTGATTGGATGTTGGGGTGGAGTACAAAATAATGTAATATAAAACATAGCTCAGTGGCCTACTGCACTACTACTACTACTGGATATGGATGGAGATTCCCCTTGTATGGGCTTTTATCCTCATATATCTTTAATATAATTATAAATTTTCCATGTTGATAAGTATAAAACCACACCATTTTAAATGATATTTAAAAGAAAGACTTACCTTCAGCTGAAAGTGTATGACGGGTTCCATTTTCTCATATCTTCTGTAACATTAGGTAATCATGTTAAGCAATGTTTGCCAATTTGATGAGTCAAAGTGATAGTTTGCTATTTTTTCATTGTATAACATTAGGATTAATTTCTTACATAGAAAAGCAAACCCTCAATTCAGTGCCCCTAATCATGGCTGATGTGGATGTAGTGAGGTGAGTGCCAAATGTGCTGTAATAAGAATTAGGTGAGACACCTGAGTTTGAAGTTTCAGGCCACCACCTTTGTTTAGTAATCAACTTGTTTAGTACTCAACTCTCAGGTTAGAGAATTTCCTTTTCTCAACTCTGTGATAATATTTCTTTTTTTGGCTGGGCCTGGTGGCTCATGCTTGTAATCCCAGCACTTTTGGAGGCCAAGATGGGTAGATCACTTGAGGTCAGGCATTTGAGACCGCCTGGCCAACGTGGTGAAACCCCATCTCTACTAAAAATACAAAAGTTAGCTGGGCATGGTGGCGCACACCTATAATCCCAGCTACTTGGGTAGCTGAGGCATGAGAATTGCTTGAACCTGGTAGGTAGAGGTTGCAGTGAGCCAAGATCATGCCACTGCACCCTGGTCTGGGTGACACAGCAAGACTCTGTCTCAAAAAAAAAAAAAAAAAAAAAAGATTTCTTTTTATGTAACTTGTGCTTTAGGCCAAACTGAGTAGATCGAGCTTGAAATCTATTTTCTTTGTGAAGATTTTTCCTTAATTTTTGTCCCTGTTAACAGCTCAGCTCTGCAGTTCTTTATCACTTTTTCTTTTTTCCTTCTGGTATGTATCTCTTTCTACATTTTATTAAATTTACGTACCTTATCTTTCCTAGTAGGTCAATTAGATTTGGATTTTTCCCCCCAGATGGCAAGTGGGCTATATAATTAACATAGTAGGTTAGGATTAACATTGTAATAGATTAAATAAATTAGAACAGGAAATATCAATGTATCATATCTTGGCATTCATGAATCTGTTTCAGTTTGAGTGTGTGTGTATGCATATCTGTTGGGTCATATATAAAATTTCTTAAAATTAAAAAAATAGTATTTTAGATTATGCTCTTGAAGATAGCACGTAGTTTTATAATTTCGGCAACTCTGCTATGTCTTGAATGAGGCTATGTTGTACAATATAGCTTAATTTTTTCCTGCACATGTAATACTTTAATTTCTATATTGCTTAATTCCAAGGGCTTTGTGAGATGGGTAACAATCTGAGCACTAAGTATTATGTCTCCATTTTGTATTTTTTCAAAGATAAATTTAACACATATGTGACCCTGAAAGTACAGAATGTGAAGAGCACAACTGTAGCAGTTCGTGGTGATCAGCCTTCCTGGGAACAGGATTTCATGTTGTAAGTATTTTGCAGCAGCAGTGTGCCTACATATTTTATAATCTTTTTAAGGGAATTGCATTGGATGAAACAATTAGAAGATTTTGTGTATTTTTGAGATTTATAAAATGTACTGGCACTGTTAAATACTGTTTTGAAAACTGTGGAGTTATAGAAATAAGTGAGGTTCATGGTACATGAAGCACAACTGCAGTTTTGTTTTCTCATGGATTCGTAATTTGTTCTTAGAGATGAATGATAATGCAGGTAAACTCCCAATTGATTTGTGTTGGTGAAAAACTACATAGGCAGATTTTCTCAGTGGTCAGAATTAGAATACAGTACAACAGACTTAGCATGACATTAAACATAACTTCATCTTTCTTTGATTCTGAGAAGGCTCTTTGAAGGAATGTGGCCATGCATGTGAGAGACTGTATCTTCATGTGTACCTCAGTCATCTGTTTTAGAGGCTGAAGATTTCTGTGCTTATAATCCTTTTGCTTTATGGAGTAAAATGTCCTATATTCAATTAATTAAAATGAATAAATATTAGTAGAATTTCTCGTGTATGACAAAGTTTAGTATATTATGATTTTAATTAAACTTTGGCTTTAAAAACTTGTTATTTCTTTCTTTTGTCCCTTTAGTTTCAGGATTTTTTTGTTCCTGTTCTACAAAAGGGGAGAAAAGTATAGAATATATTGAAGGACTGGGCAAATCATTTAGCTTCATAGGGCACTAGTTTCCTTATCTGTAAAGGTCTTCCTTTCTCAGAAGATTATGCTTGTTTTTTCTGGGAGTTGGAGGTGGGCATGAAGGGGCTGAATGAGAAAACGTACTGAAATTTGCTGTGAAATTTGAAACTGAACTGAAATCGATTTGCATGTTTTATAGTGCAGCTCAGAGGGACATAGGGATGGTTATTATTTTTAAGGGGAGACATTTCCAATCCTCTGGGCTCTTGGTATATTGCTGCTTTTTTTTTTTTTTTTTTTTTGAGGCAGGATCTCACTCTCTCACCCATCCTAGAGTGTGGTGGTATGATCATAGTTTACTGCAGCCTCTAACTCCTGGGCTTGAGCGATCTTCTTGCCTTAGCCTCCTGAGTAATGGAAACTACAAGCATGTACCATCACACCTTGGCTAATGTTTTTATTTTTTGTAAAGATGGGGTTTCACTATGTTGCCCAGGCTGATCTCAAACTCCTGGGCTCAAGCAATCTTCCCGCCTTGGCCTCCCAAAGCTGTGGGATTACAGGTGTTAGCCACTGCACCCAGCTTATATTGCTTCCTATAGGACCATTATTGTGATAGTTAAAGGCAAAGATTATAAGGTTTTGGGCTAGGACAATAGCAGAAGACGTAGAAAAGGATGAATAGAAGGTATTCAGGAAGTAGAACCAAAACATTTTCTTGGAAGATGGGTTGGGTGGTATGCCATTCAGTAGGATAGGGATTAATATCAGTTATGGACAATCTTATATTTGAGATTCTTATAGGACAGATAGGAAGGATGAGAGGTACAGAAGATAGTTAGAAACCTAAAGCTGGCACTCAGGGAAGAAGTCTGCTTTGGAGAAATATTTTGGTCAGTTGAAGCCATAGGTGAAGATGAGAAAGCTTAGGGAGAGAATGTGTATGGTGAGAAAAGGGACTGGAGTAGAAGCTGGAGAGTGGCAGCATTTAATGAGGGGACAGAGGGAACTAAAAAGGATTGAACAGAGAGGTAGGAGAGCCAGGAGATAATGGTGTCTTGGAAGCTGAGGGAGAACTGGGCTTCAAAGAGAAGGAGGCCAATGGTGTCATGTTTCTTTCTCACTGGTTGCTTCTCTCTCAAGATTATATAAGCCTCATTTATTCCCTCTCTCAGTGACAGTGATATGAGACCGAGAGCACCTGTTTCCTTCTTTACACATGCAGTGTACAGAGTCAGCTACAAATGGTTTATGCAAGTCTCTTTCCATACCAGTATGTTAGCCATAGTCCTGGCTATGGTTTATAAACCTAGCACTTCCAGTTGGCTATAACCATAATTTCCAGTTATAACTCTTCCCATCATATGAGGCACAGTGATCTTCTGCAGCCTCTCATCAGCATAGCCAGCATTATTCTTATGTGTTTATTTTCCAATTTCCCATAGCACTTCCCCTTTTGACCCTGCTGTGATATGTGTGAATTTTCTTCCTGTCTCTCCCACGTTGAGATGCTGTGTGAATTTTGCCCTCTTCTTTTACACGTGGGTTTTATTAGCTACTTTCTCTACTTTTCTGCTCTTCCTACTCCTTATTCCTCCTATCCTGTCCTATTTTAGTTATTTACTTATTTTTTTTGGTTCACTCCTTGCAGAACTTAGTCTACTACCCTGTCCTTTTGTCACCGGAATCTCCAGTGCTGGTTTCCTATCTCCCGTTCTCCTTTTTCCTTCTCCATGATGTATTATGTGGCAGTATCTAATATTCGTTTTGGTATTTCTTATATTATTTGTTTTTAATATTTTCATATCTTGTTTTTAGGATTAGATTGTTCATTTCTTAAGGGTAAGGTGGGCATCTTCACTATTTGTGTGCATTTGTGTAGCCCAGAGTCTGCTATACACGTGTTTATGTATATTGTTGATTGAATTAACAGAAAAGAAACTTCCCTAGGGTCCTGGGTATGAAGCATAAACAGAGCTCTCAGACCTCTCTTAGCTGGACCTGCTGAGCAAATGTAGGTGAGATGAGAAGCTTCTTATAGAATATATACTCATTGTTTGGGCCTTCTCCCTAGAGAGTTCTCTGAAGAGCAGATTTTCTTCTTTATCTGTTCAAGTCAAGCTGTTGAAGACCTCTGGCTATTTCTTCTGTCTGTTGGCTTGAGATGCTATTTGGGAGTTGATTTGGGAATATTATATATGTATCCCCAAGCAAATTTCTTTTTTTCTTTATTTTGTGGGACAGGGTCTCACTCTGTTGCCCAGGCTGGAGTGCAGTGGCAGCATCTTGGCTCACTGCAGCCTTGATCTCCTGGGCTCAAATGATTTTCCTGCCTCAGCCTCCTGAGTAACTGGGACTACAGATGCATGCCACCATGTCTAGCTAATTAAAAAAAATTTTTCTGGGAGACACTAGGTTTTGCCATGTTGTCCAGGCTGGTCTCAAACTCCTGGGCTCCAGTGATCTTCCCACCTCAGCCTCCCAACATACTGAGATTACAGGCATGAGCCATTGCACCTGGCCCAAGCAATTTTTCGATTCCATATTCAAATGATGGATAAGTCCAATGGATTTGAGGATGTCACATATCTTTTCCAAGACTAATTGGTTAATTAGGCTGAATTAAATTATGTGACAAAAAGCTTAGTTTCTCCACTGTGAACACTGTAACTTAGTGGCTAGGCTTATTCATCTACTTTGTGGCTCTGAACAGCTCTCCAGATAGCTTAGAAGTTTTTGGACACAAAAACTGAGTCCTATATTATGTTTCTACTCCAAAGCACTAAGTCATATGTCTTGTAAGTGCTCAGGAAATGCTAATTAAATGAATAAATTAACTCAGTACATTCTATGCTGTATTATATTTATATAAAAGGGACAAATTTTCTTTGCTTTATTCATTTTCAACACCTGACATGAATTCTGTGGCTGTCATTCTATATCTCAAACTTGTGAATCTGAGAACATTTATTTTATAGCACAACAGGGAACCCAAGCTTTCTCTAAAGTACAGACTTGAAGCTTCTACTTGTGATAAATAGCTGTTGTTTTCCTGAGAATGCCTTTCTGCTTTCTCTGCTGGAATTGGTCTTTTCTCATCTTTCTTGGATTACCCCTCAAGTAACCTTGTGTTTCAATAAGAGCTTTCTGGAGAACGTTTTTAGCATTAACACAGGTACTATTTGCGTATTCTAGTTTAATACTGGGATTATGTTTGAGTTAGTCCTTCCAAGCAGATATTCAACCATGTATGATACTGCTTTTAAATAGTGCTTATCTGGCTCTTTATGGAATGATTTCTTTTCGAATTTTTTCCCCTGGTTATTATTATAGGAAAATCATTGTATTTATCATTATCCCATGGTAATAATTTTGCTTATAAGTGACAGTGCCTAGCTTAATAATGATTAATGAGTCTCCAGGGACTGAGTGGTGTGAACTAGCACACTCTAGAGCCCCTCACTTGCCTGTGACCACATGTTCCTATCAAACTTATATGTTCTCAGGGACCCTACTTCTACCTGGACTCCCTTTCATAAATCCCCCCCGCCCCGCCCCGGCTTTTTTGGTGGGGATGGAGTCTGGCTCTGTCACTCAGGCTGGAGTGCAGTGGCGTGATCTTGGCTCTGCCTCCTGGGTTCAAGTGATTCTTGTGCCTCAGCCTCCCAAGTAGCTGGGATTACAGGTGTGCACCACCATGCCCAGCTAATTTTTGTATTTTTAGTAGAGACAGGGTTTTGCAACGTTGGCCAAGCTGGTCTCAAACTCCTGACCTCAGGTGATCTGTGCACCTCCCAAAGTGCTGGGATTACAGGCTTGAGCCACCATGCCCAGCCTGATAAATCTTGTAAAGTAGACTTACCTTTCCTAAAAGTTTCCTGTATACGATGTGTAGTTTAAGTTGAAGCAGTGTTAGTTAACAATAAAACATATAAAACTGTTGCCTATGGGTGGAAATTGGCAGGCAGGCCTGGCAATAATGTCCTTATTACTTGGCCTCATATTGTGTGAAACTGCATTAGTCTAATTATGATTGTATCTCCAAAGCGGAAAGAATGGATAGACAAAGGCATTTTTCTTTCTTTTCCCGCCCCCCCTCCCCACTGAGGTTTAATTGGGATATAAGAAACTGTACATAATTAATGTATACAATTTAGACATTTATATACTTGTGTTACCATCACCATAATCAAGGTAGTAAATATATTTATCACCTCTAAAAGTTTACTTGTGTCTCCTTTTTTTTGTTGTATGTGTGTGTTAAGAGCATTTAATATGAAATCTACCCTCTTAAATTTTGAGGTGCACAATACCTTATTGCTAACTGGAGGCACTATGTGGTATAGCAGCAGGTCTCTGGAACTTATTTAACTGTAACAAAGGCAGTTTTCTATGGATACCTATTATAGGTTTCTTGGAGCCTAAAAATGGTCGTGGCATTCTGGGAAATTTTGATTTTTCCTGAAGACAGGATCCTGGTGAGAAAGCATTCAAAGTTTAGCAAAACAGGAGATGTAGTTGTTTCTTTCATATTGTCTAGCTTTCCTCAAAGGGCTTTCCTCTTTCCCTTAGTGAGATTAGTCGCCTGGACCTGGGTCTAAGTGTGGAGGTATGGAACAAAGGACTGATCTGGGACACCATGGTGGGGACTGTGTGGATTGCGCTGAAGACTATTCGTCAGTCGGATGAGGTCAGTCATTGCATTTTCTGTTTGGAAGTATGGTTCCCAGCCCATGCTTCTCCCCATGCTAGCTCCACTTTAGCTAATATTCATCCATGCATCTTGGATTATTCTTCCCCCTTTCTAATTAGAGGGCATGCAACCTGCCTGTTCCTAACTTCACCTGAAGGTTCAGATGATTTTATTTATGTCTGGCCTACCCTGTGTCCTGTGACAACTCACAGGCTCCAGAGCACCTCTTCAGCCTTATCAGGTAGATAGCCCCTTCTGAGGTATGTGTGTGTCGGTGTGTGTGTTTACTTAGGGTACTTGTGGTTTCTGTGTTCTCTTCTAAGTCACTGCCCTGGGAGGAGTCCCATTAAACTTCCTTAGCCAGCTGGCTGGCTATTCTCTGCTTTGTTTCTTTGAGTTACCAATCTCCAAGGAACTAGTTTTCAGTGCCCTTCTTCTGCATGTAAGCCTGACAGAGTTTAAGGAACTACCAGGCTTGGCAATTTGTATTCACACTGTCTCTATACGTTATTTCTAGGATTGAACTCTTGCCTCACTTTCCTAGACTAGACCATAACTCAGCATCATTTCCCCACTTTGGACCTGGACAAAATCTGTTATATTCCTGTTTGGTGTTAACATGGACCATGAGTTTTCTCTGGGAGTGGGGAAGTTGAAATTGCCTGTATTTTCTGTATTTCTTTTAGTTCTAGCTAAGTCTCTACTCCCCAGGCAGATGGGCAGTTCATTTTCATTGCTGCCCCAGTTCAATCCTATTTAGCCAGCAATGTTAGTAGCTTTTTACTGACTAGAAACAGTGACACAGTCATTAAGAACTGTGCAGGTTAAATATTGATCCACAGAGGTACTTAGTTTTAGAGTATGGTACTCCAGACATTCTGTCCTCGTTAGACCTGCAGAGCTGAGCACAGTGAAAGCTGCTCTCCCCACCAAAGAGGGAAAACAGAAGCCACATGCAGTGGAGGCAGGTGGTGATAGTGGTGTGTTTGCCTTATCAGGATGTGAATGGCCCTCAGAAGCTCAAACAAGGAACTTCAGAGAAAAAAACCTGACTCTTGAACTAAGAGGGAGCCAAGAAAGATTAAACTTTAATCTTAGATCTTTGTTTCCTAGGAAGGGCCTGGGGAATGGTCCACATTAGAGGCAGAGACGTTAATGAAAGACGATGAGATCTGTGGAACTAGAAACCCAACTCCTCATAAAATTTTGCTTGATACAAGATTTGAGTTGCCTTTTGGTGAGTAAAATTTTAAAACTATTTAATAATTTTTACCATATTGTTTGGAATTGTTTGCTAGTTGTTTCATTAATGTATATTTTGTCACCTCAGCCATCTCCTTTGAGGATATTTTGTCTTCATTCACTCTCTTTCTCATAACACTTCACCCAGGGAATGGTGCAAAGTAGAATATAGAATAGTGCTCATTAAAGAATCTACACTAAAAAGCATTCTCTTCAACTCATTTAATTTTCTGTGACTATTTATTATAATGACTTATGAAATATTTGCTTGTTAGATTTATTATTTTGAAAATAAACATTTATTGTCTTGAAGTGACTATATATACCTTCTGATTTGTTAATTTAAGTATTAAATAGCACTGATAAATAGAATAATAATTTAAAATGTAAATTAAATCACAATACATGCTCATGATAAAAATTCAAATAGTAAGGAAATGTACATGGATAAAGTTAAAAGTTTATTTTCCCAGTTCCTTTAATCTTCTCTGCATTCTCCAGTGTGAAACCACTGTTAACATTCTTGTATTTTGGTTTAGACACATGATATTTATTTTCCAAAAACTTATTTTGGCAAAATTTGGATCATACCCTATGTAATATTTATTTGCTGATATATAGTGTTTTACAAACTGCTTAGACATTTATCCTGAACATCGCTCCATGTTATACTTTAAGATCTGTCTTATTCATCTGAACAGATGCCTCTACCATAATTTATCTTTTTTTTTTTTTTCCTTTTTTTGAGATGGAGTCTTGCTCTGCCCAGGCTTTAGGGCAGTGGCATGATCTTGGCTCACTGCAACCTCTGCCTCCTGGGTTCAAGTAATTCTCATGTCTCAGCCTCCTGAGTCACTGAGATTACAGGCTTGTGCTACCACACCTGGCTAATTTTTTGTAATTTTTAGTAGAGACAGGGTTTCACCATGTTGGTCAGGCTGGTCTTGAACTCCTGACCTCAAACGATCCGCCCACCTCTGCTTCCTAAAGTGCTGGAATTACAAGCGTGAGCCACCATGCCTGGCCTACCATAATTTATTTAAGTAATCCTTTATTGATTGACAGGTGGGTTTTTTCATTTTTTTTTTTTTTTGATGTTATATACCGCAAACTAATAACTCTGTATATCTTTGCCCATTTTGAGTCTAGAATAAATTTCTTAAAGTAGAATTGCTGGATCAAAGTATAAGTACATCATTACTTTTTATGGAATCTACTAAGTTCCTTGTCCAAAAGGTTATACCAATTTATACTCTTATAAATTATATCTGGGGAGTGCCTGTTTCTGCACATCCTTGGCAGTCTTTTGTGTTTCCCAATGGTTAATCTTTATTTGATTATTTTGTATGATATCTTATCAGGGGAAATTCAGCCCCCGATATTTCACGTGGGTCCTTTTCCATTTTTCCTAAGTGTTGGCCGGTCTAAGAAATAAAGGGAAAGAGTACAAAAGAGGGAAATTTTAAAGCTGGGTGTCCAGGGGAGACGTCACATGTCGGCAGGTTCTGTGATGCCCCCCAAGCCACAAAACCAGCAAGTTTTTATTGGTGATTCTCAAAAGAGGAGGGAGTGTACGAATAGGGTGTGGGTCACAGAGATCACATGCTTCACAAGGTAATAAAATATCACAAGGTAAATGGAGGCAGAGCGAGATCACAGGACTGGGGCGAAATTAAAATTGCTAATGAAGTTTCGGGCATGCATTGTCATTGATAACATTTTATCAGGAGACAGGCTTTGAGAGCAGACAACTGGTCTGACCAAAATTTATTAGGCAGGAATTTCCTTGTCCTAATAAGCCTGGGAGCACTACAGGAGACCAGGGCTTATTTCATCCCTTATCTACAACCGTAAAAGACAGACGTCCCCAAAGCAGCCATTTCAGAGGCCTCCCCTTAGGGACACATTCTCTTTCTCAGGGATGTTCCTTGCTGAGAAAAAGAATTCAGCAATATTTCTCCTGTTTGCTTTTGAAAGAAGAGAAATATGGCTCTGTTCCGCCCGGCCCACAGGCAGCCAGACTTCAAGGTTATCTCTCTTTTTCCCTGAACATCGCTGTTATCCTGTTCTTTTTTCAAGGTGCCCAGATTTCATATTATTTAAACAATTTGTGCAGTTAACACAATCCTCACAGGGTCCTGAGGCCACATTCAACCTCAGCTTACAAAGATGACGGGATTAAGAGATTAAAGTAAAGACAGGCATAGGAAATCTCGAGTATTGATTGGGGAAGTGATAAGTGTCCATGAAATCTTCACAATTTATGTTCAGAGATTGCAGTAAAGACAGGCTTAAGAAATTATAAAAGTATTAATTTGGGGAACTAATAAATGTCCATGAAATCTTCACAATTTATGTTCTTCTGCCATGGCTTCAGCCTGTCCCTCTGTTCAGGGTCCCTGACTTCCCGCAACAGTATCTTGTTTTAGTTTAGTTGATTTCTATTAGTTTTATTTTAATTTTTTACTGTTCATATTATTGATATTTGCATATTCTATTGTTATTGCTGTCATTTTATGATCTCAGTGTATTTGTATCTTGTATCCTATGGTGATTTAAGCAAAAATGACATGATTTTCCAGCTAGCTCAGAAAGAACTAAACTCAGAACAACTATTATTTCAGAAAAATAGAAAGGAAGTCTTTCTTGTGGGACTGTAGACCAAGCTGCAAGTGAAGGGAAAATCAATTGGAGGGAGTGGGTCTTGGTTCAAATACCACAGATATTGACCATTTTCACCAAATTTTAGTAGATATTCTTGAATAAATGTTTTTTCTTTTGCTGTATGCACTTAGAACCATTTCCAGAGACTTTAAATCGTTGTTTTTTTAATGTTGTATTACTTTTTGACTGATTTCACTCACTAATTACATAGTTACAAATGTTATATAAAATAGACATTATTCTTCTACTTTTAGTAGTTGATTTTATTTAAAAATCAGGGCCTGGCATGGTGGCTCACACCTGTAATCCCAGCATTTTGGGAGGCTGAGGTGGGTGGATCATGAGGTCAGGAGTTCAAGACCAGCCTGACCAACATGGTGAAACCCCATTTCTACTAAAAATACAAAAAATTAGCTGGGCAAGGTGTCGTGCGCCTGTAATCTCAGCTACTTAGGAGGCTGAGGCAGGAGAATCACTTGAACCCAGGAGGCATGGAGGTTGCAGTGAGCTGAGATTCCACCACTGCTCTCCAGCCTAGGTGATAGAGCAAGACTCTGTCTCAAAAAAAAAAAAAAAATCAGTAATAACAAAGTAACATTTATGGTGAATTATTGTGTGTTGGTGGGCATGTCACTAAGTATTTACATATGTTAGCTCAGTAATCCTCATTTCAGTCCTTTGAGGCAGGCCCAACTATTATTCCCCACTTTAGAGATAAGCAAACTATGGCAGAGAGTATTTAAGTATTTTGGCCATGGTCTGACTCTAGAGCCTGGGCTTTTAATTTTAACTATTTGTATAATACATTTAACCACTTCCTGTTGGGTATTTTGATTGTTTGAAGTTTGTACTGTTATAAATAGCACTGCAATAAACATGCTTGTATCTCTCTGTATTTTTTTCTTCTTAAAACTATTTTTGTGGAATGAGGCAGGAATAAATTAATAATGGTTTAAAAAGTTATCCAGTGAAAAGTCCCTTCAGAAATCCATTTTCTTCCTATAGGCTACCACTATTAATACTTTCTTGTGTATCTTTCCAGAGTCAGTTTCTGAATATAAGCACACACACACACACACACACACACACACACACACACACCACCATCTTCTTTTTAAAACGCAAATAGTAGCATATTCTAACACATTCCCTGTGCCTTGCTGTTTTGCACTTAGTATATCTTGGTGAATCATCCCACATCAGAGCATATAGACCTGCAGCAGCAGCAGCTCCTCTGCCACCTTGCACTTCCCACTCTCCTTCTTTGTAACAGGTGCATAGTATACCATTTTATGGGTGTACCATATGGATGAGAAAGCACTATACAAATTACGTTGTAGACTATTTGAAGGTGTGTGTAAGTGTTTTTAAATAAGACTTTGAAATATTGCTACCAGTTGTTAAAGAGCTAGTTGAAGGGAAGGAGCTGAAGTTTTGGACAGGTGGAACCAAGGAGAAAGGAAAGGGCTATATTTGCTTTATTCATGTGGCTACTAGAAAGTGTATCTGTTGAAATGTCTCTGAAGTTGATATGATCCATATATTGCCTGAGTGTTTCTCTTCAGTGCTGGTTAGATGGTCATACTTGATGTTTTTAAAAGGTGAGTTTTGGGGAGAAGTTGTTATAGTCAATGTAAAATGTTTAGGAATGAGGATATACCATTATACCATTATTTTTTAAGAATTCAAATATTTTCACTTAGAGACTCACTTAACAAATATTTGAGCATCTAATATTTTCCAGGCATAAAACCTGTGAGTATTTTTTAATAGCTTCTTTTAAAAAATTTTTAATTGTGGTAAGAGACATAACTGAAAATTTAGCATCTTAACCATTTTTAAGTGTACAGTTCACTAGTGTTAAGTACATTCACATTGTTGTGCAACAGATATCCAGAACTTTTTCACCTTGCAAAACTAAAACTCTGTCTCCATCAAACAACTTCTCATTTCCCCCTCCCCACAGCCACTGGCAACGACCATTCTTTCTTTTCTGTGAATTTGACTACTTTAGTTACCTTAGAGAAGTGAAATCATACAGTATTTGTCTTTTTTGTGATGGACTCATTTCATTTAGTGTAATGTCCTCAAAGTTTATCCATGTTATGGCATGTGGCAGGATTTTCTTCCTTTTAAGGCTGAATAATGCTCCGTTGTATGTAAATCTCTCATTTTGTTAATCCTTTCATCCATTAGTGGACACTTGGGTTGCTTCAACTCTTGGCTATTGTGAATAATGCTACTAGGAACTTGGGTGTGCACATATCTCTTTGAGATCCTGCTTTCACCTCTTTCGTATATATAATCCAAAGTGGGAGAACTATGTCACATGGTAATTCTACTTTTAATTTTTTTGGGAGAAAACCTTTGAATTTTGAGCATCTCAATATCTCAGCATATAACTTTTCTTTTAAGCTAATCCTTTGGATGGTTTTGGTCTTGCTGAGGGGAAGGTAGTATGGTTACATAGAAAGAATGTAGTTTTTGGAATCATACAAACCATGGTTTGAATCATGGCTCATCTCTTTATAAACTGTGACCCTGACCAGATTATTTTAGCTCTCTGAGCTTCAGCTTCTTCATCTACAAAATAACAATGGGAATAACAGTACATTGTATTGGTTTTTGTGAAGAGTAAAGATAATGTTCATGACAAGAACCAAACCATCAGTTAAAACTTGTGCATCACTACCACCTTCTGACTTCAGTCATTAGACAGAGTAAAGTGTTATCTGCTGATGATTTATTACCTGCTGATGTGATTTCTTTTCTTTTTCTTCTTTTTTTTATGGTAGATATCCCAGAGGAGGAAGCCAGATATTGGACCTACAAATGGGAGCAAATCAATGCCTTGGGAGCTGACAATGAGGTAGGAGCAGCCTTATTTGCAGTATAGAGAGATGGGGGAAAATCTCCAATGCTCTTTATAGGTTGCCCAGGGAGGGGCCCAAGAGCATGTTGTCCTGAGAATGAAATCACTTAAATTGCATTGAAGAAAAAAGGCAGCTAGAAGATTGCCTGAAATGTCACTAGAAGGTTCCATCTCCAATTTATTCTGTTCTTCCCACTCTCCCATACTGTGGTACTAGTCTGGCTGTAGACTCTTAGAGAGGGAGCTTGTACCAGGGAATCTGTCCTCTTTTGTTACACCTGTGAGTTGGAGGCATTTCTTTTGCTTCTACTGTCTCTCAGTTTTTTGGATATTATTCTTATTTGTGTCCTGTTTTTGAGGATGTTTAGACTATTGCATTGTTTGTTCTTGCTGGTCCTAACTTACCTCCAGAGATGAGGCTGGTGTGTATAAGAGAATGCATTCAGCTCAACCTGGGGCATCAGGATTGGAGAATGTTTTTGTTATTGCTGATGGAGGGAAAAGATGATAAATTTGTTTATTTTGGACATGTGGGCTACTAAAAAATGGGTCTGATTATAAGATATACTTTGAGTGCCAGAGGATATTTCAGCAGAAATTGTTGATAAACAATTTCATGAGATAATTTGAAGTTGAGGTTTGAATGGGTAGGGAGCTGTAGGCATAGAGCTTCATTAATATATTAGTAACAATTGAAGTCATAGGAATGGAAAAACTTGCTCAGGTAGAGCGTATGGAGACAGTATTAAAGAACAGGAACAAAATCTTGGGAAACCTTAGACATAGAATTCTGAGAAACAAAGGAGACTGAGAAAGGGCAACCTTAAAGAGAGAGAATAAGATAACCAGGAAAGATTAATGGAACAAAGAAAAAAAGAGATTCAAGGCAGAAATTCTTGACAGTATCACATGTTAAATCAAGTGAATTATGAAATAGAGCTATTGGATTTGGTGATTGATGACGAGTATACATCCATAGACTAGTACAGAAAGCCAAAATGCAGTGGTTTGATGACTGTATTTGTTTCCTACAGCTGCCATCACAAAGTACCACAAACTAGGTGGCTTACAGCAACCAAAATTTGTTTTCACACAGTTCTGTAGACTGGAAGTCTGAAATTAGGCTGTCAGCAGGATCAGTTCAGCTCCGTCTAGAGGCTCTGAAGGAGGAAGCATCCTGTACTCTTCTGCCTCTGATGGTTGCTGGCAGTCCTTGCTGTTCCTTAGCTTGTAGATGTATCATTCTAATCTCTGCCTCTGTTGTAATGTGCCTCCCTGTGTGTCTGTCTGTGTCTTCACAATGCATTCTCCTGTCTCTGTGTGTCTGTGTCTAAATTTCCATTTTTCTTGTAAGAACAACAGTCATTGAATTAATTTGATTATATCTGCAGAGACCTTGTTTCCAAATAAGGTCATATTCACAGATACTTAGGGTTAGAAGTCTAACATATCTTTTAGGACATAGTTCAACCCACAGTGAGTTAAATGAAAGATGAAGAAATGGCATTTGGGACAAGCAACATCTACTCTTTTCAGGGTTTTCCGTTACCTCCTTTATTCTTGGTAGGCTTTCTGTTATTAAGCTGTATAACTCTTCTCATGTCCACACCAACATCCTAACTTTTCTTCATTGTTGAAAGCTCCAGTCCTCTTTCTCCACTTAGTAACTCTGAGCATTTGTGCTATCTTTGCATGTACTTTACTTTGTGTTTTCGTTCTTCCCAAGCCTGGCTGTGGAGTGGTATTCAGCCTTTCAGACTGCCATCATCTTTGTTTTCCTAGTAAAGAAGCATGTTGTACTTTTCGTTTTATAGGCTTTGCTCTGTGTCATTATACAGAATCAGAAGAAGGGATTAAAACAATTTAAAAACCAAATATAACTTATACAAAAATTGTGGAATTTTATAAGTTCTAATAATAATGGTTCTTGGTCTGTGGTTCCCAACTGCATATCAGATTTTTGCTTTCTGTTTTTTTTTTTTAATTTTATTATTTTTATACTTTAAGTTTTAGGGTACATGTGCACAATGTGCAGGTTTGTTACATATGTATACATGTGCCATGTTGGTGTGCTGCACCCATTAACTCGTCATTTACATTAGGTATATCTCCTAATGCTATCCCTCCCCCCCTCCCCCCACCCCACAACAGGCCCCAGTGTGTGATGTTCCCCTTCCTGTGTCCAAGTGTTCTCATTGTTCAATTCCCACCTGTGAGTGAGAACATGCGATGTTTGGTTTTTTGTCCTTGGTGATAGTTTGCTGAGAATGATGGTTTCCAGCTTCATCCATGTCCCTACAAAGGACATGAACTCATCATTTTTTATGGCTGTATAGTATTCCATGGTGTATATGTGCCACATTTTCTTAATCCAGTCTATCATTGTTGGACATTTGGGTTGGTTCCAGGTCTTTGCTATTGTGAATAGTGCCGCAATAAACATACGCATGCATGTGTCTTTATAGCAGCATGATTTATAATCCTTTGGGTCTATACCCAGTAATGGGATGGCTGAGTCAGATGGTATTTCTAGTTCTAGATCCCTGAGGAATCGCCACACTGTATTCCACAATGGTTGAACCAGTTTCCAGTCCCACCAACAGTGTAAAAGTGTTCCTATTTCTCCACATCCTCTCCAGCACCTGTTGTTTCCTGACTTTTTAATGATCGCCATTCTAACTGGTGTGAGATGGTATGTCATTGTGGTTTTGATTTGCATTTCTCTGATGGCCAGTGATGATGAGCATTTTTTCATGTGTCTGTTGGCTGCATAAATGTCTTCTTTTGAGAAGTGCCTGTTCATGTCCTTTGCCCACTTGTTGATGGGGTTGTTTTTTTTTTCTTGTAAATTTGTTTGAGTTCATTGTAGATTCTGGATATTAGCCCTTTGTCAGAGGAGTAGATTGCAAAAATTTTCTCCCATTCTGTAGGTTGCCTGTTGACTCTGATGGTAGTTTCTTTTGCTGTGCAGAAGCTCTTTAGTTTAATTAGATCCCATTTGTCAATTTTGGCTTTTGTTGCTATTGCTTTTGGTGTTTTAGTCATGAAGTCCTTGCCCATGCCTATGTCCTGAATGGTATCGCCTAGGTTTTCTTCTAGGGTTTTTATGATTTTAGGTCTAACATTTAAGTCTTTAATCCATCTTGAATTAATTTTTGTATAAGGTGTAAGGAAGGGATCCAGTTTCAGCTTTCTACATATGGCTAGCCAGTTTTCCCAGCACCATTTGTTGAATAGGGAATCCTTTTCCCATTTCTTGTGTTTGTCAGGTTTGTCAAAGATCAGATGGTTGTAGATGTGTGGTATTACTTCTGAGGGCTCTGTTTTGTTCCATTGATCTATATCTCTGTTTTGGTACCAGTACCATGCTGTTTTAATTACCGTAGCCTTGTAATATAGTTTGAAGTCAGGTAGCATGATGCCTCCAGCTTTGTTCTTTTGGCTTAGGATTGACTTGGCAATGTGGGCTCTTTTTTGGTTCCATATGAACTTTAAAGTAGTTTTTTCCAATTCTGTGAAGAAAGTCATTGGTAGCTTGATGGGGGGATGGCATTGAATCTATAAATTACCTTGGGCAGTATGGCCATTTTCATGATATTGATTCTTCCTATTCATGAGCATGGAATGTTCTTCCATTTGTTTATATCCTTTTTTATTTTGTTGAGCAGTGGTTTGTAGTTCTCCTTGAAGAGGTCCTTCACATCCCTTGTAAGTTGGATTCCTAGGTATTTTATTCTCTTTGAAGCAACTGTGAATGGGAGTTCACTCATGATTTGGCTCTCTGTTTGTCTGTTATTGGTGTACAGGAATGCTTGTGATTTTTGCACATTGATTTTGTATCCTGAGACTTTGCTGAAGTTGCTTATCAGCTTAAGGAGATTTTGGGCTGAGACAGTGGGGTTTTCTAGATATACAATCATGTCATCTGCAAACAGGGACAATTTGATTTCCTCTTTTTCTAATTGAATACCCTTTATTTCTTTGTCCTGCCTGATTGCCCTGGCCAGAACTTCCAACGCTATGTTGAATAGGAGTGGTGAGAGAGGGCATCCCTGTCTTGTGCCAGTTTTCAAAGGGAATGCTTCCAGTTTTTGCCCATTCAGTATGATATTGGCTGTGGGTTTGTCATAGATAGCTCTTATTATTTTGAGATACGTCCCATCAGTACCTAATTTATTGAGAGTTTTTAGCATGAAGGGCTGTTCAATTTTGTCAAAGACCTTTTCTGCATCTATTGAGATAATCATGTGGTTTTTGTCTTTGGTTCTGTTTATATGCTGAATTAGATTTATTGATTTGTGTATGTTGAACCAGTCTTGCATCCCAGGGATGAAGCCCACTTAATCATGGTGGATAAGCTTTTTGATGTGCTGCTGGATTCAGTTTGTCAGTATTTTATTAAGGATTTTTGCGTCAATGTTCATCAGGGATATTGGTCTAAAATTCTCTCTTTTTGTTGTGTCTCTGCCAGGCTTTGGTATCAGGATGATGCTGGCCTCATAAAATGAGTTAGGGAGGATTCCCTCTTTTTCTATTGATTGGAATAGTTTCAGAAGGAATGGTACCAGCTCCTCCTTGTACCTCTGGTAGAATTCGGCTGTGAATCTGTCTGGTCCTGGACTTTTTTTGGTTGGTAAGCTATTAATTATTGCCTCAATTTCAAAGCCTGTTATTGGTCTATTCAGAGATTCAACTTCTTCCTGGTTCATTCTTGGAATGGTGTATGTGTCGAGGAATTTATCCTTTTCTTCTAGATTTTCTAGTTTATTTGCGTAGAGGTGTTTATAGTATTCTCTGATGGTAGTTTGTATTTCTGTGGGATCAGTGGTGATATCTCCTTTATCATTTTTTACTGTGTCTATTTGATTCTTCTCTCTTTTCTTCTTTATTAGTCTTGCTAGCAGTCTATCAATTTTGTTGATTTTTTCAAAAAACCAGCTCCTGGATTCATTGATTTTTTTGAAGGGTTTTTTGTGTCTCTATGTCCTTCAGTTCTGCTCTGTTCTTAGTTATTTCTTGCCTTCTGCTAGCTTTTGAATGTGTTTGCTCTTGCTTCTCTAGTCCTTTTAATTGTGATGTTAGGGTGTGAATTTTAGATCTTTCCTGCTTTCTCTTGTGGCCATTTAGTGCTATAAATTTCCCTCTACACATTGCTTTGAATGTGTCCCAGAGATTCTGGTTCGTTGTGTCTTTGTTCTCGTTGGTTTCAAAGAACATCTTTATTTCTGCCTTCATTTCATTATGTACCCAGTAGTCATTCAGGAGCAGGTTGTTGAGTTTCCATGTAGTTGAGCGGTTTTGAATGAGTTTATTACTCCTGAGTTCTAGTTTGATTGCACTGTGGTCTGAGAGACAGTTTGTTATAATTTCTGTTCTTTTACATTTGCTGAGGAATGCTTTACTTCCAACTATGTGGTCAATTTTAGAGTAAGTGCGGTGTGGTGCTGAGGAGAATGTATATTCTGTTGATTTGGGGTGGAGAGTTCTGTAGATGTCTATTAGATCTGCTTGGTGCAGAGCTGAGTTCAATTCCTGGATATCCTTGTTAACTTTCTGTCTCGTTGAGCTGTCTATTGTTGACAGTGGGTGTTAAAGTCTCCCATTATTATTGTGTAGGAGTCTAAGTCTCTTTGTAGGTCTCTAAGGACTTGCTTTATGAATCTGGGTGCTCCTGTATTGGGTGCATGTATATTTAAGATAGTTAGCTCTTCTTGTTGAATTGATCCCTTTCCCATTATGTAATGGCCTTCTTTGTCTCTTTTGATCTTTGTTGGTTTAAAGTCTGTTTTATCAGAGACTAGGATTGCAACCCCTGCCTTTTTTTGTTTTCCTTTTGCTTGGTAGATCTTCCTCCATCCCTTTATTTTGAGTCTATGTGTGTCTCTGCACATGCGACGGGCTTCCTGAGTACAGCACATTGATGAGTCTTGACTCTTTATCCAATTTGCCAGTCTGTGTCTTTTAATTGGAGCATTTAGCCCATTTACATTTAAGGTTAATATTGTTACTTGTGAATTTGATCCTGTCATTATGATGTTAGCTGGTTAGTTTGCTCGTTAGTTGATGCAGTTTCTTCCTAGCATCGATGGTCCTTACAATTTAGCATGTTTTTGCAGTGGCTGGTACCGGTTGTTCCTTTCCATGTTTAGTGCTTCCTTCAGGAGCTCTTGTAGGGCATGCCTGGTGGTGACAAAATCTCTCAGCATTTGCTTGTCTGTAAAGTATTTTATTTCTCCTTCACTTATGAAGCTTAGTTTGGCTGGATATGAAATTCTGGTTGAAAATTCTTTTCTTTAAGAATGTTGAATATTGGCCCCCACTCTCTTCTGGCTTGCAGAGTTTCTGCCGAGAGATCCACTGTTAGTCTGATGGGCTTCCCTTTGTGGGTAACCCGACCTTTCTCTCTGGCTGCCCTTAACATTATTTCCTTCATTTCAACTTTGGTGAATCTGACAATTATGTGTCTTGGAGTTGCTCTTCTCGAGGAGTATCTTTGTTGCTTTCTGTTTTTATTCTAGGGTATGGCACTCACTACATTTTCATCTTTCATCCTCTCTTCCACTGTGCTGTTTATCTTTTTAGCAGTTTTATTGAAATATAATTTTTATATACTGTACAGTTCACTCATCTAAAGCTTACAATTCGGTGGCTTTCAGTATCTTCATAGTTGTGCCCTATGGATATCACCACAACTCCAAATCAGATTTTTGCCTTCTGTTTTTATTCTAGGGTATGGCATTCACTAAGTTTTTATCTTTCGTCTTTCTTCCACTGTGCTGTTTATCTTTTTAGCAGCTTTGTTGAAATATAATTTATATATACCATACAGTTCACTCATTTAAAGCTTACAATTCAGTGGCTTTTACTAGCTTCATAGTTGTGCCCATGGATATCACCACAATTTTGAATATTTTCATTGCCCCGTAAAGAAACCCTGTGCCCTTAGTCATCAGTCTCCATTCTTCCCTATCCTCCTCAGCCCTATACAACCACTAATCAACCTTCTGTCTCTATGGACCTATTCTGTGCATTTCATATAAATGAAATTATATAACATGTGGTCCTTTGTTTTCTTTCACTTAGCATAATGTTTTCAAGGTTTCATTCTTGTTTTACCATGTAAATAAATTCCTTTTTATTGCCAAATAACATTCCATTGTATGGATGTAGTACATTTTAAATTCATTCATTAGTTGATGGACAGTTGGGTTGTTTCTCTGCTTGTTAGCTGTTATGGATAATGCTGCTTCGAATGTTTATATACAAAATGTTGTGTGGACATATGTTTTCACTTCTCTTGCGTATGACTTGGGAGTGGAATTGCTAGATCACATGGTAACTCTGCATTTAACTGATAGACTGCCAGCCTATTTTCCAAAGTGGCTATGACATTTTATACTCCTACCAGCAGTGTATAAGGGTTTCAATTTCTTCATATTCTTGTCAACACTTGTTATTATCTTTTTTATTATATCCATTCTTCGATTCTTAGCATGTATGAAGTGGTCTCTCATTTTGGTTGCTATTCCATTTAAAAACTTTTTTATTATGGAAATTTTGAAGCATGAAAAAATGTAGAGTTACTCTTCCTTTTTTTTTTTTTTTTTTTTTTTGAGAAGGAATCTCACTCTGTTGCCCAGGCTGGAGTGCAGTGGCGCGATCTCTGCTCACTGCAAGCTCCACCTCCCGGGTTCATGCCATTCTCCTGCCTCAGCCTCCGGAGTAGCTGGGACTACTGGCACCCGCCACCGCACCCGGCTAATTTTTTTGTATCTTTTAGTAGAGACAGGGTTTCACCGTGTTAGCCAGGACGGTCTCGATCCTCTGACCTCGTGATCCGCCCGCCTCGGCCTCCCAAAGTGCTGGGATTACAGGCGTGAGTCACCGCGCCCGGCCTACTCTTCCATTTTTTGCTGGAGTATTTTAAAACCAATCCAGCCGGGTGTGTTGGCTCATGCCAGTAATCCCAGCACTCTGGGGGGGCCGAGGTGGTCAGACCACTTGAGGTCAGGATTTCAAGACCAGCCTGACCAACATGGTGAAAACCCGTCTCTACTAAAAATACAAAAATTAGCTTGGCGTGGTGGTGGGAACCTGTATTCCCACCTACTTGGGAGGCTGAGGCAGGAGAATCACTTGAACCTAGGAGGCAGAGGCTACAGTGAGCCGAGATCACATCACTGCACTCCAGGCTGAGTGACAGAGCGAGATTCCCTATCAAAAACAAAAAACAATCCTAGGTATTATCTTGTCTCACCCATAAATATATCAATATAGATCTCTAACAGATAATACTTTTTTTTAAAAAAAAACCACAATGCCATTATCACACTGAACTTAATAATTTCTTAGTGTCATCCAATACCTAGTCTTTTCAATTTTCTTTATTATCTAGAAGATGTGTTTTCATAGTTGATTTTTTCATTTCAAGAGCCAGATAAGATGTGCCCATTTGGCTGTCATGTCTCTTAAATCATTTTACTTTATTTTATTTTTGTATTTTTTGTAGAGATGGTGTTTCACCATTTGCCCAGGCTGGTCGCAAACTTCTGGGCTCAAGCGATCTGCCCGCCTTGGCCTCCCAAAGTGCTGAGTTTACAAGCATGGGACACCAAGCTCAGCTCCTTGAATCATCTTAGCTGTAAAATCATTCACTTTCCCTCATCTGTTTTGTAGACTTCTGCACATTCTGGATTTTGCTGATTGTGTCCCCAGGTTTTATTTACCATGTTCCTTTATCTCTCTTATTTCCTTTAAACTGAAAAGTGCATCTATTAGTTTGAAGATTAGGTTATAGTTCATTTTTGTGATAGAGGTGATGTTAAAATTCAACAGTGGATTCAAGTATTGTCAGCCCATTTCATTCATTATGATGTTTTCCCATCAGCCTTTCATCTAATGGTTTTAGCTGCAAATAATAATGACTATTTTATTAGAGTCTGAAAAATGATTTTCTTTCTTTCTTTTATTTATTTATTTTTATTTGAGACAGTCTTACTTTGTCACCCAGGCTGGCGTGCAGTGGTGCTGCAGTCTCCGCCTCCTGAGTTCCTCAGCCTCCTGAGTAGCTGAGATTACAGGCGTGCACTACCATGCCTGGCTAATTTTTGTATTTTTTTTATAGTGACAGGGTTTCACCTTGTTGCCCAGGCTGGTCTCAAACTCCTGGCCTCAAGTGATCTGCCCACCTCGGCCTCCCAAAGTGCTGGGATTTCAGGCGGAAGCCACTGTGGCTGGTCTGATAGTCTAATTATATTATCCCTTCAGCATTTATTAGCTATGATTTGTCTATAAAAAAAATTTTCTCAATCCCAGCACTTTGGGAGGCCGAGACGGGCGGATCACGAGGTCAGGAGATCGAGACCATCCTGGCTAACACAGTGAAACCCCGTCTCTACTAAAAATACAAAAAATTAGCCGGGCGTGTTGGCAGGTGCCTGTAGTCCCAGCTACTTGGGAGGCTGAGGCAGGAGATTGGCGTGAACCCAGGAGGCGGAGCTTGCAGTGAGCTGAGATTGCACCACTGCCCTCCAGCCTGGGCAACAGAGCGAGACTCTGTCTCAAAAGAAAAAAAAAATTTTTTTTCTGTTACCAGCTATTCAGTTCACAGAAATATAGTCTGTATAAGAAAAACATTCTCTTTTATATTTTTAGAATAATGAACTGTTGCCTCAGCAACTTCTCAAGGTGACCAGTAAGTTATTTTCTTTTTTAAATGGAATATTACTATGTATTTATAAATTTGGGTATATTTGATAATGTATTTCAGCCCATTGCAATCATTCTTTTTTGGAGACAGGGTCTTGCTCTGTTGTCCAGGCTGGAGTGCAATGGCACAATCATAGCTCACTACATCCTGGAATATCTAGGTTCAAGTGATCCTCCCAGTTCAGCTTCCCAAGTAGCAGAGACTACAGGCACACATCACCGCACCTAGCTAGTTTTTAATTTTTTTGTGGAGGTGGGGTCTTGCTATGTTGCCCAGGCTGGACATTCTTTTTGATACTAAAATGATCTCATCTTTGGTTAATGGGAGTTTCTTCAAGTTGGCTTTTTTCTCTTCTCTTTTTCTATTTTTATCATGAAAAAAATTTAAGTATACATACAAATACAGGAATAATAAAAGGAAACCCATGTGTATACCTACCCCTAAGATTCACTAATTATTAAGATTTCATCATACTTGCTGCAAAATCATTTTAAAAATACAATATAGAGTCTAACTTTTTTATTCTACAGTGTGTAACGTTTCCCATACACCTCGTGGGCCTAGAAGTGCTAATCAAGACTGATTTGGGCACCTACCACTTTACAGAGTTGGATTGTACCACACTGTATTACTTTTCCTACTCATGGGCAATTAGGTTTTCACTATTATAAATGCGTGCTGCAGTGAACATTTCTGGACCTGTTTCTCTATGCTTGTATTTGACAGAGTCTCTGGGTGTATATCTGGAAGGATAGTTGCTTGGTTGTAGGATATGCTCTGTTCAACCTTAGTAGATATTACTAAATTGCTTTCTGAAGTGATTGTGCCAATTTACATTTACCCTTTTCCTGTTTCACTGTTTCCTTACTGATACTTGATGTTATCAGATTTTAAATTTTTGTTAATCTAACAAGTATAGAAATTGTTTTAATTTGTATTTTCCTGTTTATTGGTGAGATTTATTCATTTATTCACCAAATCAGTTATTACGCATCAGGTACCATGCACTATTCTGTGTTTAATATACATCAGTGGTTGAAGATCCCTACCCTCATGGATCACATAGGCAGAATCAGACAGTAAGCAAGAAATATAATAAATATAGTTGAGTATTAGAAGGTGAGAAGTGCTATAGGGGATTTCTTAGTCTATTTGGATTGCTATAACAATGCAAACTGGATAGCTTATAAACAACAGAGACTTATTTCTTATAGTTCTGGAGGATGGGAAGTCTAAAATCAAGGCACTGGCACATTCATTGTCTGGTGAGGGCCCATTTCCTGGTTCATAGACAGCACCCTGCTGTGTTCTCATGTGATGGAAGCATGCTCTCTGGAGCCTCTTTTGTAAGGGTGCTTATGCCATTCATGAAGTCTCCACCCTTATGACCTAATCATCTCCCAAAGGCCCTACCTCCTAGTACCATCACACAGGTGAATTTTTGGTGGGGGCAGGGGTGGTGGGATACAAACATTCAGACTATAGCAGAGGGGTGTATATTTTTTCTCCATGTAGGTATTATACTACTTTTGTTAGATTTTTTTCCCTAATTGTTGCAAATGGTACATTCTAAAAATTACATTTTCTAGTTGGTTATCACATTACTATTATAAGTAAATGCTTTGCTGCTCATCTTTTTAAAGTATTGATCTTACTCATCAACTCTTATTATTAATAGTTCTGATACTTTAAAGATTCCCTTAGATTTTCTGTGCGACTAGGTTTTGCATCTTTAAATTACAGTTTTTATTCTCCTAGTCCTTACGCTTTTTCTAAGTGTTGAATTGTTTATACATTATTTATATATATTATATATAATATACGTATATAATATATAATATACATATATAATATAATATATATTAATATATGTATATAATATAATATATTATATTATATATTAATATATGTATATATTATATTATATTATATATTAATATATGTATATATAATATAATATATATTATATATAATATAATATATATTATGTATAATATAATATATATATTATATATATATTATATATATTTTTTCTTAGACAGATTCTTACTCTTTCACCCAGGCTGGAGTGCAGTGGCACTCCAGTGATCCGCCTGCCTTGGACTCCCAAAGTGCTGGGATTACAGGCGTGAGCCATTGTGCTGGGCCTGTTTACGCATATATTTTTATTAACAGACTTCATTTTTTAGACGTTTTAGATTTATAGAAATATTGAGCAGATATTTATCCCCTCCCCCACCCCATCTTATAGTTTCCCTTATTATTAACATCTTACATTAGTGTAACTGCCCAACGGGTTCACCTTGTGTGCTGCCTATTCAGAGCTGATTTATGAAGACAGGGGAACTGCAGAGGAGAAAGAGTAATTCACTCAGAGCCAGCTGTGCAGGAGACTGCAGTTTTATTATTACTCAAATCAGTCTCCTGGAGCATTCGGGCATCAGAGTTTTTAAAGATAATTTGACAGGTAGGGGTTTGGGAAGTGGGGAATGCTGATTGGTTAGGTCGGAGATGGAATCATAGCAGGTAGAAGTGAGTTTTTCTTGCTATCTTCTGTTCCTGGGTGGGATGGCAGAACTGGTTGGGCCAGATGGGTGGTGTCAGCTGATTGATCTAGTGCAGGGTCTGCAAAATATCTCAAGCACGGATCTTAGGTTTTATAATAGTGATGTTATTCCCAGAAGCAATTTGGGGAGGTTCAGACTCTTGGAGCCAGAGGCTGCATGACCCCTAAAGTGATTTCTAATCTTGTAGCTAATTTGTTAGTCCTGCAAAGGCAGACTGGTCCCCGGGCAAGAAGGGGGTCTTTTTGGAAAATAGCTATTATCAATTTTGTTTCAGAGTCAAAACCATGAACTGAATTCCTTCCCGAAGTTAGTTCAGCCTATGCCCAGGAATGAACAAGGACAGCTTAATGGTTAGAAGCAAGATGGAACTGGTTAGGTCTGATTTCTTTCACTGTCATACTTTCCTTAGTTATGATTTTTGCAAAGGCAGTTTTGTTAGTGTGATACATTTGTTACAGTTAATGAACTAATATTGGTACATTATTATTAACTAAAGAGTATTTTTTATTTATTTTATTAACTAAAAAATAAAGCTAAAATTCCATAGTTTATTCAGATTTCCTCAGTTTTTACCTTGAGTCTTTTTTGTTATTTCAGGATCTCATCCAGGATATTGCATTACACTTAGTTGTCATGTCTCCTTAGGCTTCTCTTGGTTGTAGTATTTTCTCAGACTTTTCTTGTTTCTCATGACCTTTTATTTAAAACATTCAATGCCTAAGACATCTAGTATAATTTTTAACATTGTAAGAGTGGAGAGCCTTGTCTGTCTTCTGACTGTAAGGGGACTGCTTTATAAGTTTTAAAGTATGCTGTTTGCCATGGATTTTGGTAGATACTCTTTATCAGATTAAGGAAATTCTATTTTCTTTCTTATTTTTTAAGCATTTTTGTCATGAAAAAGTATGGGGTTTTATCACATCTTTTTCTGCATCTGTTTGATCACATAGTTTTTCTCTTTTGATCTGTTTAATATGGTGAATTATATGAGTAGATTTTCAGATATTGAACTGGCCTAGCATTTAATACCCACCTGGACAGGCTATATGTACATTTATATGCTAACACACATATGTGTGCACACATATACATACATATTCACATATGAATATTACACACACTTATTTAATATGATAGATTTGGCCTAGTAATCTATTAATTAGGATTTTTGTCTCTATATTCATAAATGAAATTGGCCTGTAATTTTCCTTTCTTCTACTATCCCTGTCTGTTTTTTGTAGACAGATTTTGTAGCTTTTTTCTTAGCTGTCTTAACATTATTAATTATACTCTAGTTGGACTTAAGCTTTCTGTTTTGGGCCTGGGAGAGATTCATTAAATATAGCTTCTGAAAATATCTACTCTGATCTCTTAGGTCTGCATTCTTCTTAATACTTAAAATTTTGGGATTCCTCATGGTTATGTCTATGTACTGTCTACAAAAATCATAATTATTTGTAGTGGCTATTATTTATAACCAAGTCCTTTTGTTACTTTGGAGTGGATCTTTGACCTTCAAGATGTTTTGAACCTGGCTGGGTGCAGTGGCTCACACCTGTAATCCCAGCACTTTGGGAGGCTGAGGCGGGTGGATCACCTGAGGTCAGGAGTTCAAAACCAGCCTGGCCAACGTGGTGAAACCCCCATTTTTTATATTTATAAAAAATATAAATATTTATAAAAATATTTATATAAATATTTATAAAAATATTTATATAAATATTTATAAAATATTTATATAAATATTTATAAAAATATTTATATAAATATTTATAAAAAATATAAATATTAGCCATGTTTGGTGGCTCACGCCTGTAATCCCAGCTACTCGGGAGGCTGAAGCACAAGAATTGTTTGAACCCAGGAGGCGAAGGTTGCAGTGAGCCGAAATAGCTCCACTGCACTCCAGCCTGGGAGAAAGAGTGAGAATCTGTATCAAAAAAAAAAAAAAAAAAAAAAAAAAAAAAGATGTTTTGAACATTTTTGTGATTGGCAATTTTGCTAGTGCTATCATATTGTTTACATTGTACTTGACTTTTCTTATTCTCCATGGAAATTAGTAATAACAGTATCTACCTCTGACATTTGTACCATATTCTATTGCTTATAAAGTATATTTTATATACAAAAAGTGTTTTGTATTTTGGATCCCAACCATTTGAAATGCTCTTCACCACTGATACTCATAAGAGTGTTACGTACAACACCATCAACTTTTGTCTGGATTATTGCAATAATTATTTACCCTCATGTTCCCTACAGTTCATCTCATACAGCAGCCAGATTGATCTTTTAAAAGTATAATCAAATCATAATTCTCTCATGCTTAAAACCCTAAAGGGCTTCTAAGTACACTAGAAAAGTTCGAATTCTTACCATGATTTACAAATTCTGTTTTGCCAGTGCCTAGAACAAGGCCTTGCACGTAGTGGATACTCAATCAATATTTGTTGAGTTAATAAGTAACTCATTCATTGGCAGTTTTAGAGAAGCATTGACTTGCCTCAGATCTCATAGCTTATGAATAAGTGACCACGTCAGGATGAGAACTCCAAATCTCATGTTTGCAAGTTGCCTGGCTGAGTTACATTTTTCTAATTATCCAATGGACCCTGAACCAGACTATTCTCACTGTCTTCCAGACTCTGTGTACCCCTGTTAATTTGTTTGTGCCTTTCTCTTTCTGTTTTGCCTTCTAAATCGGGCCCATCCTCAAGATTTGGACATAATTCTTTTCCTTTTATGGAACATTGTCTTATGTCTTCAGTACCGTGTACTTGTTTTTGTGGTGGTTGTGGTGGGTGGGATGGCGGAGGTTACAGTGCTAGTGGGAGAGGAACTCTTATAAATACCAGATATTGCACCACATGCTTAGGTAAGCAGTTCCACTTATTTCCCATGTGACCTTATGAGCAAAGAAGCACTATTACTTAAAAATGAGAAAACAGCCCCAGACAGGTTTTCACTTGCATCACCTGAATGGGGAAATCTTCTATACATTAGCCCCAGGAAAACTCAGAGGGCTGTGAAATATTCTAAGGATTCTAAGGCCAAACCTTCTCCAGCTGCCTGGCAGAGCTAGGTGGGTGCCCAGGTGCCCTTGGTCAGGACAGTTCTTCATTATCCTGCTTTATTTAGCCTGTCTCACTTGGCCAGGGCCATAACCAATAGTCTGGCCTATATGTCAACATCACACAGAGAAAATAGGAGCAGGATGTTCTGTTTCTGTTCAATAAAAATTTTGTTTCCAAACACTAAACCTTTTTATAGGTAGTTGTGATTTTTTTCCCTGTCTTTACTTGGGCTTCTGATTGTATTTATTTATTTATTTTCTCCTTTCTGCTTCTAGTATTCTAGTCAAGAAGAAAGCCAGAGGAAGCCATTGCCCACTGCTGCCGCCCAGTGTTGTAAGTGAGAAACTTGTCTATGAATCTCTTTTAATTGTAGCTTTCTGTCGCTTCTCTGAACATGGGTTATTCTGAGCTGGGGAGGGTGGAGATGTCATGTGTGTAAGCAGAAGATATTCCTGAAGCACATCTGTTCAGGCGCCTTTCTCTGATGGCTGTCTATCTATTAGCTTTAGGGAGACGTTTTTCGGTTTTGTATGGGGGGAGTAGGGCTCATCTTTTTTTCTACATTTGTTAGCTTCTACCCCTGGAGGAATGATTTAACCCCCTCTATCCCTGTTTACCTGTTATTATTCTTTAAGGCTCAGTTTAAATATCATCACTTCTGGGTAATCTTTGTGCTGTTTTCTCCTTCTCCCAAGTCTAACTTAGGTCTCTCCTGTGTGCTTCCATTTTACTGTGTGCACATCCATCATATGACATATATATATTTCTTTGACATGAACACAAAGTTTTAAAAGACATAGACATTGTTCCATTTTATATTCTTTGCATTTGGCTCAACACCTATGCATAGTATACCTCAATAAAATTTGATAAATGATTGACTTATTTCTCCTGAGATTGATTTGTCAAGATCACACAGATTAATTATTGAAATGAGCCATACGTTTTTGGTATATTGTTACCCTCTCCCCAGTTTCCCTCAAAACAGCTTGAGACACTAAAGGACTGACTTAGAGTCTGATCTATTTCGCTTTTTCAACCTGTGATATGTGTGTGTGTGTGTGTGTGTAGGGGGATGCGGGGGGGGGGGATTTTGATACTTTTGTGTTGCTCTGTTTTTTCTGAATCTCATGCCAAACTCCATCAACTACAAGTTGAAGATGATGGTAATGATTGTAGCATTTGTTGTTGTAATATTAGTAATAATAAGAACTGTAGGCTGGGCATGGTTCCCAGCACTTTGGAAGGCTGAGGCAGGAGGATTTCTTGAGCCCAGGAGTCTGAGACCAGTTTGGGCAACAAACAGATACCTCATTTCTACAAAAAAAAAAAAAAAAAAAAAAAAAACCAAGTGTGATGGCATGTGCCTGTAGTCCCAGATACTTGGGAGGCTGAGGTGGGAGGATGGCTTGAGCCTGGGAAATCGAGGCTGTAGTGAGCTATGATTGTGCCACTGCACTGCAGCCTGGGCAACAGAGCAAGACCCTGTTTCAAAACAAACAAACAAACAAACAAACAAACCATAGCAGCTAACACTATTGAGGTCTTACAGTATGCCAGATGCCATTCTGAGACTTTAAGTATTCTAATTTATTTAAACTTCACAACAACCCTAAGACAGATTTTACTGTTGTTCCCATTTTTGAGAGCAGGAAACTGAAGCATAAATAGATTGAGTAATTCGCCACAAATCACATAGCTAGTAACTGGTGAAGTAAATATTCAAACACAGAAAATCTGACTTAGTAGCTCCTACCTCTGTGTGAACCACTGTGTTATATTGATTCCTTCATATTGTTTCTGAAAAGGAAAACCTTTGTCCATGGTTTGTGAATCTGTTGGTTGCCTTCAATTTGGTACATTCTATAGGCCCACTTTCCTGATAAAAGTAAAGGCCAATGGTAGAGGTGAACTTTTTTTTCTTTATTTAAAGAAAACCTATTTTTCATATGATTTATTACTAACTTTTGTTTTTTGCTGTTTAGGACCGAACATTTAAGGTCATAGGAGGTCAGAAGAATCTGAATCCAAAACCAGGTTTTCAGGTTTACAGGTCCTTTTCAAAACTCATTGTAATGAGTTCATTGTGATTGATTTAATCTTTTAAACCTTTTTCCACGACTGCTAATGAGAAGCAAAATGTAAAGATTGAGATTTTACTTCCTACTCCTTCCTGGTCTCATTGATGAAATATAATTGAAGCGATTAAAGCGCAAATGCCAAGAGGGCAGGAGGAAATAAAAAACCTTAAATAATCAAGCAACTTTATTCCCATACATTTTTCATATGTTTACAGGCTATTTTATTTTTCTGTGAATAAGCCATTCTTGTCTTTTGCCTGCTCCCTCGTATATTTTTATTTTGAGAAATGTTAAACCTATAGAAAAGTTGAAAGAACAGTACCAAGAGTGCTCATTACCCTTTACTAGGTTCAGTGACAAGCATTTTGCCAGATTTGCTCTTTCCCTCATCCCCCTCTTATTTTTCTCTCATGTTTCTTTATCTCTGTCTCCATACATACATACACAAAAATACAAGTATTTTCTGAATCATTTGAATATAAGCTGCACATGCTATAACACATCAGCGTGTTTCTGCTAAGAGCTAGGAAAGTCAACATAACTGAAATACCATGATCACAATCAAGAAATTTAAGACTGATACAGTAATATTGTCTATAATACAGTCTATATTAAGAACTCCCTAATTGTCCCCAAAAATATTTTGAAAGCTTTTTTTATATTTTAAAAAATTTTATTTATTTTTTAATTTTTATGGGTACATAGTAGGTATTTATGGAATACATGAGTATTTTGATACGGGCATACAATATGTAATAATCACATCAAGGTAAATGGGGTATCCATCACCTCAAGCATTTATCATTTCTTTGTGTTACAAATATTCCAGTTATACTCTTTTAGTTATTTAAAAATGTGTAATAAATTATTGTTGACCATAGTCACCCTATTGTGCTAGCAAATACTAGATCTTACTCATTCTAGATAACTATTTTTGTACGCATTAACCGTCCCTAATCTCCTCTTACCCCTAACTCCCCTTCCCAGCCTCTGTTAATCATCCTTCTATTCTCTGTCTCCATGAATTCAATTGTTTTAATTTTTAGCTCCCACAAACGAGTGAGAACATGTGAAGTTTGTCTTTCTGTGCCTGGCTTATTTCACACAACATAATGTCCTCCAGTTTCATCCATATTGTTGCAAATGACAGGATCTCATTCTTTTTTTTTATGGATAAATAGTACTACATTGTGTTTATGTACTACATTTTCCTTTTCCATTCATCTGTTGATGGAAGCTTAGGCTGCTTTCAAATCTTGCCTATTGCGAACATTGCTGCAACAAACATAGGAGTGCAGATATCTCTTTGATATACTTTCATAGCCTTCCCCCGCCATGATCTAATCAATAACCATACATTTCATTTATTGTCCTGTCTCTTTAACCTACCTTCTTTCCTTCATTCCTTTTCTTTTCTTTGTTCTTTTCTTTCTCTCTCCTTCCTTCTTTCCTTTCCCTTCCTTTCCTTTCCTTTTCCTTTTCCTTTCTTTTCCTTTTCTCTTTTCACTTTTCTCTTTTTTCTTTCTTTCCTTTCTTGAGAAGGAGTCTTGCTCCATCATCCAGGCTGGAGTGCAGTGGCATGATCTTGGCTGGCTGTAAGCTTTGCCTCCTGGGTTCAACCAATTCTCCTGCCTCAGCCTCCTGAGTAGCTAGAACTACAGGCCATGCTACCACTCCCAGCTAATTTTTTTGTATTTTTAGTAGAGACAGGGTTTCACTATGTTGGCCAGGCTGTTCTTGAACTCCTGACCTCCAGTGATCCGCCCACCTCAGCCTCCAAAAGTGCTGGGATTACAGACATGAACCACCGCACTTGGCCTAGTCTTCTTTAATATAATAAAAAAAAATCTGGCCACGCACTGTGGCTCACACCTGTAATCCCAGGACTCTGCAAGGTGGAGACGGGTGGATCACTTGAGCCCAGGAGTTCTAGACCAATCCGGGCAACATGGCAAAACATCATCTCTATAAAAAAATACAAAAATTAGTCAGGCATAGTGGTGCATACCTGTAGTCCCAGCTACTTGGGAGACTGAGCCAGGAGGATCACCTGAGCCTGGGGAGATTGAGGCTGCAGTGAGCCGTGATCATGCCACTGCACCCCAGCCTGGGTAACAGAGTGAGACCCTGTCTCAAAAAAAACCAAACCAAACCAATACAAAAACAAAACTTTGCCTTTTTGGTCATTTATGATATTGATCTTTTTTTATTTACAAAAATAGTTTATTCTAATTATAATCTCTATTCATATGGGGGTATACCTTCTTACAGGTTTCTGGGAAGCAGTTTAGCAATATGTACCAAGTCTTTGAATAGGAATAGGCTTTGACTCAGCAGCTGAATTTCTGGAAATTTATCCTCAGTCATCACAGCAGACAAAGATATATGTGCAAAGATGTTCACTGCAGAATTATTTAAGTAGCAAAATTTGAAAATGACTTAATAGTTAAACAGCAGTAAAAAATAATAGTCCTTAAGATAGAATATTATGCATTTATTAAAAATCATGCTTTGAATAATAGGAACATTTTCATGGAACTTGGTAAAAAAAAAAAAAAGTATTACAGTTATCCCTCAGTATACTTGGGGGATTGCTTCCAGGACCCCTGCACGTACCAAAATCCGTGCATACTCAAATTCCTCACTTGGCCCTGAGGAACCCACCTATATGAAAACTTGGCCCTCTGTATATGCAGGTTTCACATCCTGCATTTTCTATCTGTCTCATTGAAAAAGATCCATAAGAGGACTCATGCAGTTCAAGCTTATGTTATTTAAGGGTCAACTTAAAACCCTCAGTGTGTGTGTGTGTTTATGTATATATATACATAAGCAATTTAAGACTTATTGCTGAGAACTTAATTGTGTCTACCCCCCATTTATATATTGAAGCCTCAACACTCAATATTATTATATTTGGAGACAGGGCCTGTGAGGAGGTGATAAAGGTTAAGTGAGGTCATAATCTGATAGGGCTGGTGCCCTCATAAGAAGAAGAGATAGCAGAGCTCCATCCCTACCAAGTGAGGACACAGTAAGAAGGTAGCCATCTGTAAGCCAGGAAGAAAGCCCTCACCAGGAATTGAATCAGCTAGCCAGCCCCTTGATCTTGGACTTTCTAGCCTCCAGAACTGTGAGAAATAAATTTCTGTTACTTAAGACACCCAGTCTAAGTGATTTCGTTAAGGCAATCCAAGAAGACTACTGCAGATTTTGGTACTAAGAGGTGGATTGTTGCTGAAACAAATACCAAAAAATTTGCAAGTAGCTTTGGAACTGGGTGATGGGTAGAGGCTGGAAGAGTTTTGAGGTGCATGCTAGAAAAAACTGAGATTTCCATGAAGGGGTTATTGTTAGAAATATGGACATGAAAGGTGATTCTGGTGAGGGCTTAGAAAGAAAAGAGGAGAGCTACAGAGAAAACTTCCATCTTAGAGAATGTGTAATTAATCATGATCAGAATGTTGGTATGAGTGTAGATATTAAAGGCAATTTTTGTGAGATCTCAGATAGAAGCAGTTAATAATAATAATAAGGAAATAACTGGAAGAAGGATGATCCTTGTTATAAGGTGGCAAAGAACTTGGCTGAATTGTGTTCTAGTGTTTTGTAGAAGGTAGAACCTGAGAGCAATTAAATTGCATATTTAGCAGAAGAAATTTCTAAGCAATGTTTTGAAGATGTGATGTGGCTTTCCCTTACTGCTTGTAGTAAAATGCAAGAGGACAGAAATGAATGAAGAAAGACTGTTGGACTTCTTAGGTTCTAGAAGACTGGACCATAGAGCTATTTGACTGTGAATCTGTGCTATTTTCCAGGGAAAGGAAAGAATTACCCTCAAAGGTGACAGAGGTCATCAGGGCTGCCCCCCTCACCACAGACCTGGGGGCAAGGTCATTTACTTCATTATGTAAGAGGGCAGGCTTATCACAGTGAGGCAGCTCCTGAAAAGCCAAGGAGGCAGATATATCAAGCCAAAGAGAATTATTCTTGAGTCTTAGATCTAATGGAATTCACCTTGGTAGGCTTTGGACTTGCTTAGGACCTGTCACCCCTTCCTTTCTTCCCTGTTTCTCTCTTTTGGAATGGGAATGTCTAGCCTATGTCTGCCCTACGATTGTATTTTGGAAGCACATAACTTGTCTGGTTTCGCAGGTTTATAGCTGGAAATGCATTTCGCTTTAGGATGACTCTTTACTCAAGATCACTCGTCTTATTTAGATGATAATTAGATAAGACTTGGGACTTTAGACTTTGAAGTGGAAATTGAATGAGTTAAGACTTGGGGCTGTTGGGATGGAATGAATGTATCTTGTGTGGATAAAGACATGAATTATGGGGGGCTGGGGCAGAATTGTATGAACTTGATTGTGTCCCCTCCAAATTCATATGTTGAAGCCCTAGTCCCCAGTTTGACTGTATTTGGACATAGGACCTGTGAGGAAGTGATAAAAGTTAAATGAGGTCATAAGGATGGAGCCCTAATCTGACAGGGCTGGGGCCCATTTAAGAAGAAGAGACACCAGAGCTTGCTCTCTCCACCATGTGAGGACACAGCAAAAAGGTGACCATCTGCAAGCCAGGAAGAGACTGTTCACCAGAAACCAAACCTTATGGGAACATTGACCTTGGGCTTTCCAGCCTCAGACTGTGAGAAAATAAATTGTTGTTGTTTAAGCTCCCCAGCCTATGGTATTTTGTTATGGCAGCCTGAGCAGATGTATACACTATGTAAATGCATCTATACAATTATAAGAAAAATTACTAGGAAAAGAATGATCAAAATATTAACCAAATTTGTCTCTAGGATATGGGATTGTGGCCTTAAATTTTTTTTAATAGTTAAAAGTTATTATTGGCCAGGCACAGTGGCTCATGCTTGTAATTTCAGCATTTTGGGAGGCTGCAGCGGGAGGATGGCTTAAGGCTGAAGTTCAAGACTAGTCCAAGCAACATAGTGAGACCCCCATCTCTACAATTAAAAACAAAGTTATTATTAAGAAAAGTAATTGAGTTCTTGTTCATTCTTTTTCCTTTTTTTGCGATGGAGTCTCTCTCACTCTGTCACCCAGACTGGAGTGCAGTGACACGATCTTGGCTCACGGCAACCTCCGTCTCCCTGGTTCAAGTGATTCTCCTGCCTCAGCCTCCGAGTAGCTGGGACCACAGTCATGTGTCATCACACCCGGCTAATTTTTGTATTTTTGTTGGCCAGGCTGGTCTTGAACTCCTGACCTCAAGTGATCTGCCTGGCTTGGTCTCCAAAAGTGCTGGGATTATAGGCGTTGAGCCACCAAGCCCAGTTGAGTCCTTGTTCTTAACCTGGGTTTGCTGCTCTCTCTCTGTGACTTTGGAAGTCATCCCACTGTTAACTTCAGTTTCTTGAAGTAATAAATGGAGGTGGTGTTCTAGATGATCTCTAGGACTTTTCCAGCTGTAGCACATCATATGACTCTATTACTTCCTAGTCCTCAGATTCCTTCATGTGGATGGCCCCTCCACTACCCAGTGTGTTAGGATCAATCCTCTGCGGCCATTTATAAGATGTTTCCAAAGTATTTTCAGAAATCACTGGGCTACTGCTCTAAAGAAACTCTCCCTTTGATACAAGAGTTACTGTGGCTGGAAGTGGTGGCTCATGCCTGTAATCCCAGCACTTTGGGAGGCCAAGGCAGGAGAATCACTTGAGGCCAGCAGTTTGAAACCAGCCTGGGCAACATAGCGAGACCCTGTCTCTATTTAAAAATAAATAAGTTTAAAAAGTAAAAAAATAAAAGGAGTTACTCTAGCCCCAGTTATTTGGATATACTCTTAAAGGTGATGGGATTCTTTAAAAGTATTGAGGCAAACTATCTGCTTTTCCCCTTTGTCTCAGGTCAAGCCTTTCTCTTTTAGCATTCAGTAACAACATTCTGCATTCACTTTTATCCTGTGAAGTTTTTGTCTCATTTGGTAACTGATATATTTATTTTAAAATGTTGTAGGGTAATTATTGTGATTTATTATGTCCATCTGTTTTTTATCCCCCATTTTATTACCATTTCTAGCATTTAGGCTGACTTGTGCCCATTTCTTGAAAGAAAGGTAAGGCAGAGAGCAGAAGAAGTGATCTTTGTGGTTTTAACTTCCCAAAGCCTAAGATTTTAGGAGAGTATGCAAAGTGTTCTGGACAAATATTATGAGAGGGAGCAGAGTTTCACCTGAATCTCCCAATTTCTAAGAAGAGCTTCTTTTGACTTGAATGAGAGGAGAGAAATGCAAGAGAATGAGGAGAGAAAGAAAGAAAGTGACCAGGGGAGATACATTGGGACCTTGTGTCTGCTTTCTGTGTTAGGGCACTGGTGAAGCAGCAGGAGTCAAAGAGGGGATGGCTAGGTGTTGTGTCTTAGGCAGATGGACCATCACAAAGAGATTCCTATGCTCCAAGTTGCACTTGCTCCAAAATGAGTCTTGGGCTTTCTAGAAGTGGGAAAGTGAGCCTCTGGTCCTATTGGAACCACTTGGGCAGGAATAAGAAATGTCTCTCTCAGAAGTGTTCTCTGTGTCCGAGTGACTAAGGACTGGAGGAGACCTGGACTATCTTGATGAATGCCAGTTCACAAAGACACATCCATGCCATGGGCAGTCACTTCACTGCAGTGTCTTTTTAAAAATTATTATGCTTTAAGTTCTGGGTTACATGTGCAGAAACACTGCAGTATCTTATTCACATGCTGTGTCAGTATTCAGAGCAGTCTTCATGGGACAGGGGCAAGACTTAGGTTGAGACTGAAGGATGAATATGTCTTCTAAGAGTGATAACATTAGTTTTCCTAGGAGACATATTGATCTCTTTGTTGGTGGTTGTTGCCTCTCTGGCTGATATTGCTTGGTTGTTCCTGCCCTCTGAGGTGTAGGTGAGTGCTGGCTTTCTCAATGGGGTGCAGGTGTGAGTCTCCAAAGGTTACTTTTGGGGACTCCCTGGGGTCTTATGTGAGTGATTGCTCTGGTTCAACTTCTTTTGTCCTGCTATTGACTACTACCAAAAGATGTACTTAGCTTGTTGCTGCTGGTATCCTGTTACTTAGAGGCTTCTTGAATGGGGAAATATCAAGATAACTGGGACTCACCCACATTCCACAGAATTCACATGACCCATGGGAACTCAATTATTCTTGCCCTGAGAAACAAAGGATATAGGCAAGCAGTTCCATTCTCTTCTCTGTCTCCCAGCTCTGCCTCCTCTGTTCTTTTTGGCTGCTTAGAAAAGTACACAGTTCACATCAGCAAGTCTCCTGTCCAAGCAGACATCCAACCTGTCTGGCTCCACTCCCATTCTTGTAGGCATCCCTAACCTTTGTGAATTATGAAGCTCCTCCTCACTTGGATTCAGAGCAGAAAAACATTCGTTTTTCCCCTCCCCAGGAGGTGGAGAGGGGAAGGAGTGACCTCTCTTCACCAACAATTGCTCTCCCAAAGGTTGCTGGGTCCCACATTGACATAGACATTCTACAAGACAGCTGACAAGGATCTAGTTAAATTGTCTTAACAAAATTTCCTGGTTGGGCACAGTGGCTCACGCCTGTAATCCCAGCACTTTGGGAGGCTGAGGCAGGCAGATCATGAGGTCAAGAGATCGAGACCATCCTGGCTAACACAGTGAAACCCCATCTATACTAAAAATACAAAAAATTAGCCAGGTGTGGTGGCGGGCACCTGTAATCCTAGCTACTCGGGAGGCTGAGGCAGAAGAATTGCTTGAACCCGTGAGACGGAGGTTGCGGTGAGCCAAGATTGCACCACTGTACTCCAGCCTGGGCGACAGAGCGAGACTCTGTCTCGGAAAAAATTTCCTAAAATCTGGATTTGTCTGATTATTTCCTCGTAATTAGATTCAGGTTACTGCACAGCTGATGTCAATTTGTCCCTTTATTTGTGATGCTGATGTTAATTATTAGTTCAGATGATGTTTTCCAGATCTCTTTGTTGCAAAGATATTTTTCTCCTTTGTAACTAAGTGTGTAGTGGCAGTGATACTTTGAGACTGTGTGTATACTGCTTTTATTTAAATAAACTTCCATGCATTAGTTTTAGGATGTATTATGATCATTGCCTAAATTTATTATTACACTGTGGTTGCAAAATGATGATTTTCTAATTCTGTCATTCTTTTTTAAAAGGAAAAAATGGTTTCTCTATACTTGCACAATTCTGACACCAAGTATGTTTTCCATACCAAGCAATTCTCTGCTAACATCAACTGAGTGTCTCATGACTTAATTCTGACACTAGAGATGTGGAGTTAGTGCAGACCCTACAGGTTAAGGGCTCAGTCCCACAAGACTGCCTCCCACTTTAGAGACCAATCATAAATCCCAGGTTACTGCCTGAACTTCTGACCAACTGGCTATAAACTGGAGTTCCCACAAGCCCCTCCTCAGGTTCAATAATTTGCTAGGATGGCTCACAGAACCCAGGAAAACAGTTAATTTGGTATTACCGATTGATTAAAAGGATATTTTAAAGGATACAAACAAATAGCCAGATGAAATGATACATTGGAGGAAGTCCAGAAGGGTCTGAGCACAGGAACTTCTGTCCCTGTGGAGTTTTGGGTGCACTACTCTCCCTGTGGGTGCATTTTTGTTCACCAGTGTGGAAACTCTCTAAACCCCTTTGGCTGGGGTTTTCACGGACACATCATTATGTAAGTATGATTGGTTAAATCATTGATCATTGATGATTAATTGGCTCAACCTTCAGCCCCTCTTTTCTCCCTGGAGTTTGTGGGGTGGGACTGAAAGTTCTAACCCTCTAATCACAAAGTTGGTTCTTTTGGCAACTAGCCTCCATCCTCCAGGAGTTATCACATTAGCATTAACTCAGGTATGATTGAAAGGGGCTTACTATGAATAACAAAAGACAGTCTTATCCCTATCACTCAAGGAGTTAAAAGGGTTTTAGAAGCTCTGTGCCAAGAACTGCAGGCAGAGACCAAATATTTATTTCTTATTGTGTCACACTGTTATTATACTGAACAGTTGTCAGTCTTTTGTAAAGAAGAGCTTTCCTTCTTCGCATACCCCCACCCCTCTTTTAAAATGAGTATCACTATGGACACATGATTTTTTTTTTTGAACCCAGTGTTTTGTAATCCTGTTCTGCCATTTTCTTTGATGCTCAAATTGTCCTGAATTTGGCCTATGGGTGTTCCTTTTAACTAGATCCTGTGTCCTTTTGACATGGCCCTATCATTCTTTGACCACTTCCTTCCTTCCTTAGTACAAAATATTCCAAGCTCATCTTGTACTTTGCCTTCTCAGTCCTAGAATAAGTCATTTCTCCAATGAGGCTGGTTATTTTTAGTGGGGAATGGTATTTAAAAATCAAGATCTTGGCACTAGTTTTGCTCGTTGCTACAGGAGGGCTCTTGCTTCTTGGCTCTTTGGATGGAACTAGGGAACACACTATGTTCTTCATACTGGTATCACCAATTAACACCCTCATCACAAGGTTTTCCTGGTCTCCTTTCATATATTCTCTCTCTCTCTATGTATATATATGTGTGTGTGTGTGTGTGTGTGTATGTATGTGTTTGTGTATTATGCACATATATATACACATATATACACACATGTGTATATACACACACATATACATGTATATCTTCCAGTGAGAACCTCTGTTCCCAAGAACATCAAATTATTTATTCATTTGCTGTGTCCTGTAATGTACACAAACAAATTTTAGGATTAATATACCCAGTGCTATTATCAACAATAAGACAACAGTCTTTAAGATTCTTGAAAGTTTTTTTTTAACCTTAGAATATAAACTCACATAAGATTACAAAACCACCAGCACACCAAAAATTTAACAAAATTTTATAATGTCATCAGTATCTATCCTATATTCAAATATCCCCAGTTTTCCCCCAAACTTTCTTGTCCTTTTTGCACCATTGTAGAAGTTAATCAAGGTTCACACATTGCATTTGTATGTGGTGTGATTTGAGTGAAGATCGTCTTTTTGCATGTGGATTTCCAGTTGTCCTAAGACCATTTGTTAAAAAGGCATTTTCGGCCAGGCACGGTGGCTCATGCCTGTAATCCCAGCACTCTGGGAGGCCGAGGCAGGTGGATCACGAGGTCAGGAGATCGAGACCATCCTGGCCAACATGGTGAAACCCCATCTCTACTAAAAATACAAAAGTTAGCTGGGTGTGGTGGTGTACACCTGTAGTCTCAGCTACTCAGGAGGCTGAGACAGGAGAATGGCTTGAACCTGGGAGGTGGAGGTTTTAGTGAGCCGAGATTGCGCCACTGCACTCCAGCCTGGATGACAGAGTGAGACTCCATTTCAAAAAAAAAAAAAAAAAAAAGGACATTTCTCCCCCCATTAAATTGCCTCTGCATCTTTGTTAAAATCATTCTTACTACCACCACATGTTCCCATTACTTTCCTTCCTTTTAGCAGATTAGATTTTATATATTCACATTAGAAAGTGGATATACTTTCTTTTAGGATATGTTCTTCAGATGTGGCCTCAGCTGGGAGTTGGTAGCAGATGCCAGGAGACGCATGTGGCTTTTTGCATGCTTGAGCCTCAGTACATCATGTTTACTTTTGCAGGTCTTATTGCTCCTCAATTTATAGAGCTGTTCTGAGGCTGTGCAATCTGATTTGCATATTTGATACAAATCTTGCAACAAATGGTATCAGTATAATATAAACATTTAGCCACAAGGCTAAATGGTCAGAAGTTGAGCTAGAGGGATAAACTGGTCTGTTCCTTTTCCAAACATACCTAAAGTTTCTAAGGTATTTACACTTCACTCTTCAATAAGGATAATATTTCTACCTATATCTTGTCAAAGAATGTAGCAACACACCATGTTGCCATACCAGTCTGACTACTACTAAATTCAACAACTTTCTGCTCTTTTCAATTTTTATACATGTCTGCCTTGCCCACCCACTGTATTAATGACAGTATCACTGGCTACAATTGAGAATTGAATCAAAAGTGATTTAGCATGTGACGAAGGTTTGGTGAGATGACTACTTACATCAAAACCATCCTGGCCAACGTGGTGAAACTGCTAGGGTGTGTAAATTAGTACAACCTTTCTAACTCAGTGATTTTACTTCTAGGAAGTATTCAAGGAAAATAACTAGAGGTTCAAAGGAAGATTTATGTATAGGTTTTATTTATAATAGTGAAAAATTACAAAGAAAGGAAGAATGGATAATTATGGTATTTCCATATGATGGAATTGTATACTTTTACATAAATTTTTAAGATAGAGGAAATATTTATGTGTATAAGTTCTAAAAAATAGGATCCTAACCTGATTAAGATGATCTCAGTTATCTAAGAAATAAATTATATACATATGTACGTAGAAAAACCACAAGGAAATATAATTTTTTTGTTTTTTTTTTTGGTTGTTTCATTTTGTTTTTTTTGTTTTTTTTTGTTTTTGTTTTTTTTTTTTGAGATGGAGTCTCACTCTGTCGTCCAGGCTGGAGTGCAGTGGCAGAATCTTGGGTCACTGCAACCTTTGCCTCCTAGGTTCAAGCAATTCTCCTGCCTCAGCCTCTCGAGTAGCTGGGATTACAGGCACCTACCACCACACGTGGCTAATTTTTGTATTTTTAGTAGAGACAGGGTTTCACCATGTTGGCCAGGCTGGCCTCGAACTCCTGACCTCAAGTGATCTACCCACCTCGGCCTCCCAAAGTGTTGGGATTACAGGCGTGAGCCACCACGCCCGGCCTGTTTTATTTTTTCTTTATACTTTATTGTACTTTCCAGATTTCCTCCAAAGAACATGCATTTGTTTTATAATAATTTTAAAAGGGATAAATATTTTAAAATAACCCAAGCCTGACAATACAGAAGCAAGTTATTGTAGATTCACTTTTTTAGTTTGAATTTGAGACTTAGTTGAATGATAATTTATTGTTGAGATTGACATAGTTTAGTTCAACAATACCAGTGATTCCTTCACTGAAAATTCCACGTAGCTTTTAGAGTTGCAGTGTACCTTTTATTAATGATATCCCTAAAGCCTCCCTTAACTACTTACCGTGTCTGAAACAAAAAGCTTCTGGGGTCTATGTTATTTCTATATGTATTATGATCTAAAAGATAGCTTGAACTTTTGCTTGAGATATAGCCCACCTTGGAGTTTCAAAGAGATTTTTCTGGTTATCTATTAAGGGTTTGTTTCACTGGTTTTCTTACAGTATTGCCTATAATTAGTGATCTATACAAATCATAAACCAAAATGTCCTGAGTACGAATCATTCTTTTAAATTAGTAAAACGGCATAACCCAACATATTGTTTAAAAATTTTCTTGAAGAATGAATCAGTTCAGAACAGTTGGATGTGAGTCATATCATGAATAACAAGTGACCAAACATTCAGAAGCATTGTCAGTAATATACTGCTTAGTTGCTGGGTTGTGACAAATTATTTGACCACCACAAACTTCAGAAGAATTTCTTTTACCAGCATATCCAAAAGAGGCATGTTTAATAAAATTACTTACCTTTCCTCATTTTCAACTCTTACTGTCAAATGTCCTGGTCCTAGTGTCCATTGCGTTGATATTTGTTGATTCTTAGATGGCAAGCAGTAGGTTTTCAATGCTTTCCACTAGTTTTCAGCCATTAGACCTGATATTCATATTCCTAGTGTGCACCATATTCAAATACTCCTCTTATAGCCTCTTATTATTCTTGGTCTCCATCTAAAACTGTTCACTGCCACTCTATTACCTGTCTTATTTCTAATATTCTACCTGTTAGGGGAGGCAGAGAAATGGGTCATTCTGTATATGTAACTAGGTATTCCCCACTTGGACGATTAGGTTCCTGCCTGCTCTACAAGTGATGATGGTATAATCCCCAACTAAAATCAACCACAAAAAAAACGCTAGGCAGGTACTGCCAGTGCTTCTCTTAGTCTCATTTTCACACCTACCAGAAACAAGACTAGCTTTAGGCCTGTGGGCTGTGTTGGCCGCCTCTCAATGGAGGCTAGGACTTGCTTTCGTAGTTGGGTCTTATAGACTTTAAGTAGAACAGGAAATGTTGTCCACTCGTTTTTGGTCCAGGATACCTTTCTTTTATTCTGGACCCACCACAGCCAGAGGGAGCTGACCCAAGTGGCAATTACTGTGTCAAAGCTTGATCATGTAGAGTATGGGACTATCACTCCACCATTTCATGCCAGAGAACACCATCTTGAGAGGATCTAGTGCTTCCTGACCATCAGACCTAACTACCTCGCACAGCTCCAAGTAAAAAAGAAGCCTGGTTAGAAATCTGGATCTGTATTACTTATTTTCCGTATGACAGTAGCCACCATACTGATAACCCCTGCCTATCAGGAGATATATCTCTTAGAGAGCTTTGTGGCCTCGCACTCTCAACTAGTACTAGCATTCTTTTCTTTTCTTTTTTTGTAGAAATGGGGGTCTCACTATGTTGCCCAGGCTGGTCTCAAACTCCTGGCCTCAAGCTATCCTCTGCCTTAGCCTCCCAAACTGCTGTGATTACAGGTGTGAGCCACCACACCCAGTCAAGAATTTGCATGTCTTACAGATTCAAGAGCATATAGTAGATTAATCCATGTTCCTAATAATGCCTTAAAGAGAACCAGAATCTCTCACCATAATTGAATTTTGAAGGGACAGAACTCAGAAAATCTGTCCTCTGTATCCCCTTATAATGACATGTTCTTATTCTGTGGCAGGCCCTTTGAAGACATTAGGATGGCCTGCTAGGACTTCTGACAGCCTTCATAAAGAATGCCCCACAATGAAATTTGGGGGACAAATGCCAAAGATAATCCTGGGAGACCTGAGAGATTATTGAACTCTCTCCTGATGCCCAGGTTCCTCTGGGACATTGCTACCTTGGGTTTAATTATAAATGTATCCACTTCTTGAAGCCATAATATAATATGTATGCTGTTCACTTAAATTCAGGGCCCTGTGAGTGGGCTATTTAGTCCCTACACCAGCTGGCCTTTGGCTGCATCCAAATTGCAGTGCTCCCCCATAAAAGAGATGTCCAGCTCCATAACTTTCCCAATCATTTTTTGTCATACTGTGAAATCATACTTCAATAGATATCATGGGTTTGGAGCTTTTTGTTCAGTGTCCTCTAGGTTAAAATTCTGCACTCTCAAAGTCATTTGTGATTTAAAGTTGTAGAATGTATTGGTTTTCTTGTTAGTTTTGAATTCTTTTTTTTTCTTTTCTTTACCTTGGCTGGATAAAGTTATGAATTCTTGATGGCCACTTTGCATGGTATTGTGAAGAGCAGCTCAGAGTCTTTTTTTCTCCCAAGTCTCCCAACCAGTTATCTTTTTCTGCATCACTTGTTTCTAGGAAATGGGTAAACTAGAGTTAAAACTTTGGTCAGCTTGACTCAAATGTCTGTGTTCTTTCCGCTATACCACCACCCTGTGGTGGCAAAAATCTCATGGGATATAATTTGCCATTCAGAAATATGTGCTTTTCTTACGTGGCTACTGCCCTTTGTTTTAATTAAAATTAATTCATTTATTGAATAGGTAATATACTTTGTATAGGAGTTTTAAAATATTAAAGGGAGTATAGTAAAAAGTCTCCCTCCTGTTCCTATTCCCCAGCCACTTGGGTCTTCTCCCCAGAGGTAATCATCGTTAGCATTTTCTTGTGAATCATTCAAGAGGTTTTACTGCTGTTCGAATATACAGGTATATACATTAGAGAGATCTTTTGATTATTCTTTCCATCCTTTGAATTGGTTTTATTTACTCATTCATTTATTCTGAGATGGAGTCTCGCTTTGTTGCCCAGGTTGGAGCGTAGTGGTGTGATCTCGGCTCACTGTGACCTCCGCCTCCTGGGTTTAAGTGATTCCCCTTCCTCAACCTCCTGAGTAGCTGGGATTACAGGCGCCTGCAACCACACCTGGCTAATTTTTGTAGTTTTAATAGAGACAGCGTTTCACAATGTTGACTAGGCTGGTCTTGAACTCCTGACATCAAATGATCTGCCTGCCTCAGCCTCCCAAAATGCTGGGATTACAGTGAGCCACTGTGCCCGGCCTGAATTGGTTTTAGAGTACCAAATACTACAATAAAATGTCCACAGCTAACTTATAGTTGAGATTTGAATACTTCTTGATCAGTGTCTTTTTTGGGTTCTCACTCTGTTCTAAGGATTTATTTAAAAGCCACAGGGGCTAGGTGCAATGGCTTGTGCCTGTAATCCCAGCACTTTGGGAGGCTGAAGTGGGCAGGTTGTTTGAGCTCAGGAGTTCGAGACCAGCCTGAGCAACATGATGAAACCCGATCTCTACAAAAAATACAAAAATTAGCCTGGTGTGGTGGTGTGTGCCTGTAGTCCCAGCTACATGGGAGGCTGAAGCGGGAGGATCACTTCAGCCCAGGAAGTTGAGACTGCAATGAGCCAAGATTATGCCACTGCACTCCAGCCTGGGTGACAGAGTGAGAGCCTGTCTCAAAAAAAAAAAAAAAAAAAGGCATAGGGAATAGATGGTTTATTTTATTTTCCCTGTTGCTTTCCATAGCAAAGATCTGTTTCCCAAAATCCTGGCCTTGAGTACAATAGAAATGTTTCCTCTGTCTGCACTCACCCTCCTAGAATGACTTTCACACATTTATTCCTGGGTCAAGAACTTCTGCAGTTTATGTCCATAGAATATGTTAGTTTCCTCACTAATTTTGAATTCGTTGTGGTCACTTTTTGTGGTGTTGTGAAGAGTTATTTTTTTCCTCTTCCAACATACTGAGTCCCTTTCTTATTTTAAACTTTGTAAAAAATAGAAATACGTAACATGGGTACTATAAAAGTCTTCAAATGATTCAGAAATGTGTAATATAGAAAGTGAAAGTACTCTTCAATTTCCCCCTCTATTCCACTCCGGGATAACTAGTCTTCACAGTTTCGTGTATATTCCCCCAACATTTTAATTTTTATTTTTAAAAAATGAGTCAAAAATTTAATTATGCGGTGTCTTTCAATGATAATTGTTTTCCCTCCCACAAAGGCCAAATTGTTCTTTTTGTCTGAATTACAAAAGAATAAATGTAAAATACAAAAGTTTTAGAGCATAATAATGAAACTAATACCCATTAGCCTACCACTCATCATTATCCTTTAGTATAGTTTAGTAATGTACTCAGAAGTTTTTCTTAGATTTATCATGCTCCCTGAGTGACAGTGTTTTCCTTCATATGGGACTGGTGAATTGCAAGTGTAGGGACATAGTCTTTGGTTTCTTAGTTTTGCTGTCTGATATGTTAGGTACTCAGGGAGTGACGCTTGGTTGTTTGCCCCTGAGGGACCTCATCCCATCCAGGTTTTAGGGAAAGACAATTTAACCTTTAGAGGAAAAAAAACAATGATCATTGAATAAGAGTGTAATTTGCAGTATTTTCTGGAAGATGGCATCCTTTTTCTTTGGGTTGGAAATTTACTTTCTCCAGAGCTTGTAGATTGCTAGAAAGCTTCTGTAATTGTGACTACTAGACTCATATTCAGGCGATTGAGACATGAGTTTGGCAATAGCTAAAGCTTTGTTGGCTATATTGTAAGGTAATTTATAAGCATTAGAATGCTCAGGGGTATCCCTAGTAGAAATGACATTGAAGCAGATGCCAGACAGAGAACTGTCATACTTTTCCTAATTTTTCCTGTGAAGCTTTGAGACTTCAGCATTACAGAAAAGAAATCCAGAGCCCTGAAGTACAAAGGAGCTTATCCATTATAGAGCTTTTCATTTTCTCCTTTGCAAAGGCTTTTATATTTTCTCGGGGGGTTCTTGTTCTTAGTGAGTAGCTATGTAAACCAGGGAGTATATTTGCAGAGGCTAGGAAAGAATTAATGGGAGAATGCAAAAACAATCAAAAGATCTGAATCACAACCTAGACTCAAGTCCGAAGAGGTAAATATACAAAGACAGCAACTTGAATATGTAATTTATAATTACATATTCACATTGTGTACACAGTAATACCATGGAAAGTACCCTCAATGGGTACACAGTAATACCATGGAAAGTACCCTCAATGGGTACACAGTAATACCATGGAAAGAAGGAAAGTCCCGAGGTGGCAAAGGAATAAATAAATGGTTAAGAATGGCATAAAGTTTGTTCAAGAAGGCTTTCCAGAAACATATGTTTAGAAATTACTTTTGAAAGAACTAATCGAGATGTGTTCATTGAAATGAGAGATTGTTCACAGTAGTATAAATGAAAAGAATGAGGAGAGGATTACAAAGATGCAGGACACACTGGCTTAGAGTACAGTGATGTCATAGTTGTACTTGCTAATCTGCCAGAGGAAATGAATCCTCTTGTTGTTGTTGGCCTTCAAAAAGCCAAGATGTACAGGGCTCGCCCAGTTTGGCAGATTCATTTCTTTGGGAGCCTTTTCTTTCTTTTACTCCAGATACGTAGAGTCCTCATTATCATCTATCACCTTCTCTCTGTTTAAATGTGTCGTAGAATTGAAAGTTTTGAGCCGCTTAAGATTTTGGTGGCTAAAATTTTGTTGCTGTGATGGAAGACCTGTTTCTGTGAACACTGGAAGCAGAAGAGCCTTATGATTACTTTTTACTTATTTACCCAGGACCACATGCCCTGCAGGAAAATAGGATTGCATGACCAGCTGGCCTCCACTCTGCAGATTCATCCACTTCTTCAATGTCCTCTATTTCTCCTTCTCATTTTTAAAATCCCAGAAGGCATAGGTCCCCAGGTCATATACTTCTTTTGCCACCTTCTTCTACCTTTTTGCCACTTTTTTTTTTTGTCTGAGCCTTCTATATTGGCTCTTGCATTAAAGCATCCTAATCATTCTGGAGTTCCATAGGTAGCTGATTCTTGTTTATCTTATAAGTAGGATATTTTCCCCATTTTATTTTATTTTTTGAAAGGAAACATGTGCATAAGGTACAAAATTCGATGTAAAAATGTATGCTATGAAAAACAGCTTTTTTTCTGTACCCTGTCCTTTAGCCATACAGTTTCTACCCAGAGGTAACCACTACTGCCATTTACTGTGGATTTCTCTAGAAAGAGTTTATGCATTCACAAACATATAAATATATATTCCCCCACCCCCATGAATGGTAGTATGCTATGAACTGTGTTTAGTGTCTTGCTTTTTATCATATAATATGTATGACTACATGTAGGGAACAGGTTCATAATAATGGACATTTTAAAAATTGAGGTGAAACTCATGTAGCATAAAATAAACCATTTTAAATATATAATTTAGTGACATTTAGTACATTCATAAATTGTAGAACCATTACCTGTCTAGTTCCAAAACATTTTTATCCCCCTCAAAGGAGACCTCATACCCATTAAACGGTCACTCTCCATTCTCTCCACCCCTCACCGCTGGCAACCACTGATCTACTTTCTGTCTCTATGGATTTACCCATTCTCGATATTTCACATAAATGGAATCATATAGTATTAGGCCTTTTGTGACTGGTTTATTTAGCAGCATAATGTTTTTGAGGTGCATTCACCATTGTGGCATGTATCAGTCCTTTATCCCATCTTATGGCTGAATACTAATTCATTGTACAGATATACCATATTTTGTTTATCCATTCATAGTTGATGAAATATGTTTTTTTTTAAACCACTTTTGGCTATTGTGAATAGTGCTGCTATGAACAACAGTGTACAAGTATTTGAATAGCTGTTTTCAGTTCTTTTGGGTATATACTAGGATTAGAATGGCTATTAATGTACATTTAAGTTGCTTCCAGTATTTGCAGTTACAATACTGAAATTGATATTTTATATACATAATTTTATACATGTGTGAATATATCTGTTGGATGAATAGCTAAAAGTGCGATTGCTGGGCCAAAGCATTGTACATTTAACAATGCATTTGAATTTTGAAATATGTTACAGAATTGCCCACTATGGAGGCTGTACTATTTATATTCCCACTTACAAAGTATGAGAGTGCTTCATCTTTCCTTAGCTTTTAGGAATAGTCACCCTTCCTACAAAATTATATTGCAGAGATGGCACACTGAGGATAGCCATAGGCAAACAGTTCCTGTGCCATGATTCACTGAGTCTCCTTTCTGCTTGCCTGCTTATCCTGTCTTTTTCTCCTCTACCATCTGGGCCGTCTGATTTTCTGATTCCCCAAAAAGAGGTCTTGATAACTGGGCCTTTTGTTTAGTGTCCTGGTCAAAGTTCTTCCTCTGGTTTAACTTCTGTCTTTCTGCTTACATGTTAATTTTGGGTAATCCTTTGATTTCATTTTCAATAATAATATTGTGGAAGTAGAGAGGAAAGTGCTGAGGTGACAGAAGAAGAAGCAAATGGTTGAGAATGGTATAAAGTTTGTTCAGGAAGGCATTCTAGAAAAGATGAGTTTCGAGATGACTTTTGAAGAAGTTATTTGCAATGTAAAGTTTGAAAGGAGAGATTATTCCTAGTAGGATAAATGAAAAGTAGGAAGAAAGGGTTCAAAAGGTAACATACTCCATCTCACCCCACTCCCCATGTCCTGGTCAAGGTATCTCTTACTGGCTGGAACATTCTTTTTCCTATTACCTTATCCCATTGGGGAGTGGGAAGTAAAGGATCAGACAGGGTATAGCTTCTGGTACCTCCAGTCTAGGACTAAGACTCTGAGAGACACGAAAATATACTAGTTATGGACTCCTTAGAGTGAGTGCACAGGGAGTATTATTTTAGTGGTAAGGCAGTGCAATGGGTCTAGGACTGTCAGTAAGGGTGGGTGATGAGTTTTACACTAGATATGTGGTATCAGTGGAAGCAGCTGATATTGATGCTAATTATAGGTGCTGGCAAACTAAAAAGAAAAGAGAGAAACTATTACAATATGGTTTGGCTGATAAAAATAATGTTAATTGTAGTCTTCTGACTCATTTATTTATTTCTATCCTGGCTTCCTCTAAAAAGAAATTTGAGGTGGTTAATTGCAGTCATTACATCAACTTATTATAATTTATGTTCAGTTACAATTATACACAATTAACCATGTTAAAAATGTCAGATTAATGTATCAAAGTTTCATTTGCTAGCAACACTTAGGTGTCTATGCTGAGTACAGTGTGTGTTGTATATGCATAAAGGTCAGTTATTACCATAAAAGCGTGGTCATCTGATGGCTTCTTGTTATAGGTTTCATTGGGAGGCTGAGGCGGGTGGATCACGAGGTCAGGAGATCGAGACCATCCTGACCAACATGGTGAAACCCTGTCTCTACTAAAAAATACAAAAAATTAGCTGGGCGTGGTGGCATGCGCCTGTAGTCCCAGCTACTCAGGAGGCTGAGGCAGGGGAATTGCTTGAACCTGGGAGACGGAGGTTGCAGTGAGCCGAGATCACGCCACTGCACTCCAGCCTGGTGACAGAGCAAGACTCTATCTCAAAAAAAAAAAAAAAAAATTAGCTGGGCATGGTGGCACTTTCCTGTAATCGCAGCTACTCGAGAGGCAGAGGTAGGAGAATTGCTTGAACGCTAGGGGCAGATGTTGCAGTGAGCTGAGATCACACCACTGCACTCGAGCCTGGGAGTGAGAGACTGTCTCAAAAAAAAAAAAAAGAGAGAGAGAGGAATGAAAGTCCCTGACCTCAGGGAGCTCAAGTCCAGAGAGGAAGAAACATAAGTAGTACCATTTGATAAGTGAATGGGAACGTAAGTACTTGATATTCAAGGAATACAGAGAAAGAGAATGTAATACAAATTTGGGATGGTTAGGAACTGCTTCCCAGAGGAAATGATATCTCAAACAAAGTCTGTAGTTTACGTTATGGTTCTCTCTTTGTATTGTACATTCTATGGATTTTGACAAATGTGTGATGACACATATCCACCCTTATAGTATAGAATAGTTACGCTGCCCTAAAAATCTTCTGTAGTTTACCTATTCATTTCTACCTCTCCCCAGATCCTTGGCATAAATTGAGTCTTAAAGGATGAGTAGCAGACAGTTAAGTGAAGAAGGAGAAAAGAGTTCATAGTACAAGGACACTAAGATGAAAAAGCATGACTTAAGGTACCTTGGGGTACTGCAAGTTGAAAATTCTTGATGGCTTCGGTGGAGGGAATAAGAAGAGTGGGGAAGGGTCAGATGAGGCCAGAGAGACACAGAGAACTCATATCACAAAGGGCTTGAATGCCATAGCAAGCTGTTTATATTTTATCTTGAAGGCAAGGGGGAACCTTTGATGACTTTATGCAGAGGAATGAAACAATTAGATAGCAGTGATTATAGTGATGTGAGCAGTTTGCTGCATTAAAAATCTTTTTAATGGTAGAATATAACACAGATATATAGACAACTTTATAAAACAAATGTTTAAATGTATTAGTATAAGGTAGGTAAAAGATAGACCTTTGCCAACCACCCCAGAAAGCCTCCATATGCCTCTTCCCAATCACAACCCCCTCTTCCCTAAAAGTACCTACTATCCCAACTTTTATAATAATTACTCTCTTCTTGTTCTTTATATGTTGTCACCCAAGTATGTATCTTTAAACACTAGAGTTTGTTTTTGCTTGTTTTCTTGTTTTCTCTTTTTGATATGTCTTACAATTTTTTTTGTTTGTTTTGTTTTGTTTTGTTTTTGGGATAGTCTCACTCTGTCACCCAGGCTGGAGTGCAGTGGCTGTGATCTCGGCTCACTGCAACCTCTGCCTCCTGGGATCAAGAGATTCTCCTGCTTTAGCCTCCTGAGTAGCTAGGACTACAGGCACATGCCACCACACCCGGATAATTTTTTTTGTATTTTTAGTAGAGATGGGATTTCACCATGTTGGCCAGGCTGGTCTCGAACTCCTGACCTCAGGTGATCTGCCTGCCTCAGTCTCCCAAAGTGATGGGATTACAGGTGTGAGCCACCATGCCTGATCATGTCTTACAATTATTTTTTATTCTATGGGTTCCCCCTCCGTCTCTTGCTTTTTTTTCCTTACAATTTGTTTATTGAAGAAATCAGGCCATTTGACTATATGGTTTTGTTTGACTTACAGAGTTTTTTACATTCCCGATTTTGCTCAAAACATTCCTATAAGTTTAGCTTAACACACTCTTCTGTCCTTTGTATTTCCTGTAAATTGTAGTTGCACATTGAAGATTGATGATATTGATGCCAGGCATATTCCATAGTTTGAGTATACTATAATTTAAAATTTTTTCCCCAATTTGTAGACATTTGGATTGTTCCCCAGTTTTTGCTGCTAAAACACAATACTATAGTGAGCAACTTTATACACTTTTTTTTGTAAACATGTTCAAATGAATCTCCCATCCTCTATTACACAGTATGTATTTTTCCTCTATGGCACTTTCTCAGTTTGTATGATTATTTGATTAATATTTGTTCCCTTCTTTAGGCCATACATTTCATGAGTATACCCATTGTTCATAGGTATTTTCCTTTGATTTATTAATATGCTTATCTGTGTATCCATAGTACCTTTGCCCAATAAATATTAGTTGAATAAATGCATTTCTATAAGTGGAATCATTGGGTTAAAGAATATATACATTTATAATTTTGTTAGACACTATCAAATTGTATAAAAATATTTTACCTATTTATATTTCTGCTGCTGGTACTTATTTTCACATTTAGCCTCACTGGCCCACTCAACAACACCGTGCCCCCCACCCACCTCTTCACCCCCTCTCCTCTTTTCCTTTTGTTACTTTCTTCTACAAACATTTTTTTGACACTTACATTCCAGGTTTTGTTCTAGGTGTTTAGGATATATCAGAGAGCAAAACAAAGATCCTGGGTGGGAAGAAATAGACAATTAACATAATAAGGAAATAATATAGGATGTTAGAGAGTGAACCAATAAAAGAGTGAAAGGCAGTTGGTAATGCTAGAATTGGAGTTGAGTTGCAATTTTAAATAAAATTCTGAGTATTGGCCACATGAGAAGGTGACATTTCAATAGAGTTGAAATAGGTGAGGGAATTAACGTGGCTCTCTGGGGAAAGAGTGTGATAGGCAGCGTGAACAGCTAGTTCAAAAGCTGGTAGCTACTGAAAAGGAGTAGGAAGAGTTTTGCTGGGTCCTGGGAATGCTGTTTCTTGATCTGTGTGCTGGTTACCTGAGTGTGTTCACAGTATTCATTGAGCAGTACAGGCCGGGCGTGGTGTTTCACGCCTGTAATCCCAGAACTTTGGGAGGCTGAGGCCGGGGGATCACTTGAGGTCAGGAGTTTGAGACAAGCCTGGCCAACATGGTGAAATCCCATCTCTACTAAAAATACAAAAATTAGCCAGGCGTGGTGGCATGCGACTGTAGCCTGTAGTCCAGCTACTTGGGAGGCTGAGGCAGGAGAATTGCCTGAACCCGGGAGGCAGAGGTTACAGTGAGCTGAGATCATGTCACTGCACTCCAGCCTGGTTGACAGAGCAAGATTCTGTTTCAAAAAAACCAAAAAAACAAAAACGTTGAGCAGTACGGTTATGATTTGTATATTTTTCTCTATCTTATACTTCAGTAGAGCTTGCATATTTAAAAATATTAGTGGATGTTGAACATTTCAAAATGCATTAATAGTACTTAACCAATTCATGGATATTTTTCTTTGACTTATTAATATAATGAATGCATTAATCAGTTTCTATTAATAAATCATCTTTGCCTTTCTAAAATATAACCTACTTGGTTATGGTGAATTATTCTTTTACTATAATGCTAGGCTTGATTTGCTTGTATTTCATTTTGGATTTTTCTATCTATATCACAAGTAACGTTGGTGAATAGTTTTTTGTTATTCTCCTATGTTAGATTTGAAGTGTTTTCCTTAATTATAGGTTCTTTACTACTGTCTTCCGTAGAAAGAGAAGTTCTACAGTACTTACCGAATCAACTGTCTAGAAAAAGGGAAGAGAATAATTTCTAGTGTTTGAGTTTATGGTCCTTATGAGATACCTGGTAATTACTACAATTTAGTAGTTGATAGGTGAGTTCCTGTCATTGCCTAGACAGATGGCTGTTCACATGGAGTCTGGGGCTTAAGTATTCCATCATTTTAATGTCATGGAAACATTAGCCAGTACTGGACTACTAATGGGTGGTGTAACAGTTGCCTGGGGGTGTTTTGTTTGATAATTGTAGACCTTACTTTTTAATGTGACTATTTCTGATTTCTTACATTTTCCACTAGAAACAAGATAAAATGTGCAGAAGAAGCAGCCTGTGAGTGTGTTGCTGTAGCCTAGTCAGCCAGCCTAGGGGATGGGGATAAGTGCAGAGGTTTACCTTCTAGGAAAGAGGATGTACTTTCGTCTTAGAACTGCTAGAATTTTTTCACTGTATGATGACATTGAACTTTTCTTCAGGCTCAGTAGGATAGTGGGTCTGGCTGCCTTCTTCCTCCATTAGCACAGGAGTATTATTCTTCTGTCTGGGAGACTGTGGCTTTTTCATATAGGAAATTCTATAGCTGTGTTTTTCGCAATGTAATTCAAGAATCATTGGCATGAGAGTCACCAAGTTTCTTGTTGAAAAGCCCTTTGAATTAGAATCTCTGTGAGTAGAGTTTAAAATTTACATTCTAAACAAGAGCCTCAAGTAATTATTAAAATTAAAAGATGGCCAGGCACATGGTTCACTCCTGTAATCCCAGCACTTTGGGAGCCTGAGGCAGGTGGATTGCTTGAGCTTGGGAGTTTGAGACCAGCCTGGGCAACATGGTGAGACCCCATCTCTACAGAAAACAAAAATTAGTCGAGTGTGATGGCACGTGCCTGTAGTCCCAGCTTCTCAGGAGGCTAGGGTAGGAGGATTGGTTGAGGCAGCAATGAGCCATGATTGTCACTGCACTCCAGCATGGGTGACAGGGCAAGACCTGGTTTCTAAAAACAAATTTTTAAAAAGTCCAGTCAAATATCTGTAATAATTCAGAATAATTCTGTAATCTCTAATAATTCATAAGGTAATAAGTTTCTTGATAAGGATAGTTAAATCTTCAAGGAAAGCACAAAAGGAAGGAGATTTCAGCAGAATTAACTACTAAGTTTGTTGACTGATTGGACATGGGAAATAAAGAGGAATTTTAAGAATGGTCCTGTGGTTTCTGATTTCAAAGTATTGGGAGTTTGGTGGTTTTGGACATGAGGTGTACTTGCTATACTCCCGTATTTCTAGAGAATTTTTAACACTGTAAATACAATGCCATTACCACTGGGGGCTGTGATACTGTGATTTTATAATAAGAAACATATATTTTGGTCTTTGTCCCTGGTTCCTGACACAGAGCTCCTAATCTCTTAGAATTTTATGGATACTAGGAATGTCTGTTGTTCTAATGAGGGACTCTTGATGGGCTTCCACATAGGAACCAGTTATCAGACAGACCAAGCCATGTTTGGAAGCTTGGAACTTTTTTTTTTTTTTTTTTTTTTTGAGATGGAGTTTCACTCTGTCACCCAGGCTGGAGTGCAGTGGCTGTGATCTTGGCTCACTGCAACCTCCACCTCCCAAGTTCAAGTGATTCTCCTGCCTTAGCCTCCCAAGTAGCTGGGATTACAGGTGCCTGCCACCATGCTTGGCTAATTTTTGTATTTTTAGTAGAGAAGAGGTTTCACTATGTTGGCCAGGCTGGTCTCGAACTCCTGACCTCAAATGATCCACCCACCTTGGCCTCCCAAGAAGCCTGGAAATTTTAGCCCCATTCCCTTTCCTTCAGGAAAGGGAGAGGAACTGGAGATTGAGTTAATAATTGATCATGCCAGGTCAGGCACAGTGGCTCCTGTCTGTAATCCCAGCACTTTGGGAGGCTGAAGCAGTAGGATGACTCCAGAAGCTTGAGACCAGCCTGGACAACATAGTGAGGCCCTGTTTCTACAAAAAAATAATACCACTAATACTACTTATAATAGATTGTGTCTATATGATAAAGCCTCCATAAAAATCCCAAAACTGTGGATTTTTGGAGCCTCTGTGTTGGCAAACACATCCGTGTGCTGGGAGGGTGGTGCATCGCAAATCCACAGGGCAGAAGCTCCTGTGCCCAGGACTCTTCCAGACCTTGTTCTGTGTATTTCTTCATGTGGCTGTTCAACTATGTCCTTTGTAATATCCTCTACCGTAGACGGGTAAACATAAGTAAAATGTTTCGTTGAATTCTGTGAGTTGTCCTGCCTCAGCCTCCCATGTAGCTGGGACCACAAGCCTGCACCACCATGCCCAGCTAACTTTTTGGTTTTGCCTGTTTTTGAACTTGTTATAAGTTATCATAAATTATCTTTCCTTTAGAGTTAGTTTCATTTCTTTTTCTTTCTTTCTTTCTTTCTTTTTTTTTTTTGAGTTGGAGTCTTAATCTGTTGCCTAGGCTGGAGTGCATTGGCATGATCACGGCTCACTGCAACAACCAGCTCCTGGGTTCAAGTGATTCTCCTGCCTCAGTCTCCCGAGTAGCTGGGATTACAGGTGCCCATCGCCATGCCTGGCTAATTTTTGTATTTTTAGTAGAGACAGGTTTCACCATGTTGGCCAGGCTAGTCTCGAACTCCTGACCTCAGGTGATCTGCCCACCTCAACCTCCCAAAGTGCTGGGATTACAGGCAAGAGCCACCATGCCCGACTTCACTGTGCATTCTCGCTAACAATGTACAAGAGTTCCAGTTGCTCCACAGCCTCACTGACGCTTTGGATTGTCAATTGTTCCTCTTCCTCCTCCTCCTTCTCTTCCTCTTTTTCTTCTTCTTTTTAAAATTTCTGTCTGCTTTTTAAATGTGATTGTTCCTTAGGGTTCCCCCACTTCATATAGTCTTTTTTTCTTGGCCTGCACTCTGCCTTAGTGTTTTTATTTACTTGCATTTTTATTTATACTCATTTGTAAATATTGGTTGAACTTTTACATTGTGCCATGCATTATCAGGTGCTGAGGATACAGCAAAAGAACAAAGCAGAAAAATCCCTGCCCTTATTGGAACATATAGTCTGAAAACTTCCAAGTCTGTTCCACATCTCTTTCCTGAGCTCCACACCCGTATATCTGGCTGTCTACTGGCCATGTTCATTTGAGATGTTCCATAGATATCTCAGAGTCAATATACCTAACCCTGAATTAATCATCTTCTTCAGCCTGCCCCCATGTTGTATTTTTTTCTCGGTGAATGATGTCACATTCATCCAGTAGCTCAAGCTAAAAACCTAAGCAATATTATTTAATCCTCCTTTCCACATTTTATTTACTCATTAAATGCTATTGATTTTCCCTCCAGAATATCTTATGAATCTATCCCCTTCTCTCTACCCACTCTGCCACTTCCCTAGTCCAGGCTATCAACAGATGAGTGCACCATTCTCCTTACGAGCCTCCCTGACACCTCCTCCCTATGAATCACCAGTCCTTTCTACCCAACCAACCACCATTGGCCACACTGTTCCACTGTTCTCTTTCTAAAATGCCAAATCTGATCCTGTCTTTCCCCTCTTAAAAGCTCTGATAGCTCTGTGTTGCCCTCCAGGTAATTCCAAATCCTTAATATTACTTGATTTCTAAACATTACCTAAGACCCATAGTCATTAGGTTCTTTCATAACTCTGTAGCCTCTCACTCTAGATATTCTGGAACTATTTTCAGCTCACTGAACATGCCTTTGCATGCATAATTTCCTTTTCCTGGGACATTTTCCCCTTCCTTTTCTCAGTACTAATGCCTAGCAAAACCTAACTATCCTCAGTAATTGTTCTGCTGGCTAGTTATGTGTTTTAATGCATTTTTGGGATAGGGAAGGAAACTTGCTTATTTAAACCGGTGTAATTTATCTTATGACGGTTCTGAGCTAAAGTGGTGAGAATATGGAGCTGGCTTGTCAGAGAACATGACTTGTTTTTTCATGCGTTAGAGATGGGCCCAGTAGATGGGATCAGATTATTCATTCAATTTATTAGTACAGTAGATATTTACTGAGAACTTTTATGTATAAGAAACTGCTGTGGGGTGCTCAAAGATGAGGGGCAGTGTCCTGCCCAGAAAGGCTTCTTTGGGCTCACAATTGTGGTGAGAAACAGCATTGTCACTTGCCTGGAGCAATCTAAGTTGATAGACATATTCTGAGGTTCTATGTGATTTTTTTTTTCCATTTTCTTTTTAAAAGAAATGAAGTAATTACCCTCTAGCAGTTGCTATGGCAACTGTTCTACAGGAGGGTTTTTTTTTTTTGCCTCCCCTCCCCCCATGGTTAGAAAGTGAAATAAATTATTACAATTTTAAAATGGCACACTAAGCCAACATATCCTTTCTGAGAGGTGAGAAGAAGAGACATAGGTGGTCGGAATAAAGTAAGTGCCTAGGAAGAAAATTGGCTGTCAGGGTATCACTAAATTAAAGTCTGTGATTGATTAGTAGTCCCGTATGCCCAGGATTGAGGATTAGCTCAAGTACTGAAAACAGCCTGGGTTGGCATCATATGATGTTCCTAGAATTTCGAGTCTTACTGTAGACTTTCAAGGGAGTCACACACTCAGAACCAGTTTGTGGGCCTTGTGGACCCCACATTGAAGATTCCTTAGCAGACCTTGGGACTGTCAGAGGGTGCAATTCTAGGAGTTGTGTCTTTTTTTCTGCTTCTTATTTATTAGGACTCTGTAAGGCAAGCAAAAACCTGGTAACGTGACAAAATAACAACAAATGCTAGTTGCTCACCATCTTCCAGGGACTGTGCCTAGCATTTTACATATTTTTTCCTGTATGATCTTTACAGTAACCCAGTGACACTTGTGTTATTGTTATTCTCATATTACAGATGAGGAAATATCTGTAATAACTTTCTCAAGATCATATAGCTAGTAAATCGCAGAGCCAGAAGAACTGAATGTTGACTTTAAAACCCATATTCTTGGCTGAGCATGGTGGCTCACTCCTGTAATCCCAGCACTTTGGGAGGCTGAGGCGGGTGGATCACTGGAGGTTAGGAGTTCGAGGCCAGCCTGGCCAACATGGTGAAACCCTGTCTCTACTGAAAATACAAAAATTAGCCAGGCGTGTTGGTAGGCGCCTGTAATCCCAGCTTCTTGGGAGCCTGAGGCATGAGAATCACTTGAACCTGGGGACAGAGGTTGCAGTGAGCCGAGATCGTGTCACCGCACTCCAACCTGGGTGACAGAGTGAGACTCTGTCTCAAAAAATAAAAAACCCATATTCTTAATTATGAAGCTATTTACTTCTTGTTTCTTGAGATTAAAGGCCTATTTTTAATGATTTCTTTATCACAATTAGTTTCTTGAAATTCAATTTGGGTGTGGGATAGGACTTAATTAATAGTGGATTTTTGATTTTGAAAAATGAATAAAAAATATTTTCAATTTTCTCCTGTCCTTCAAAGCTTCTGTGTTTTAGTGGATTTTATTAAAAATTTATAGGTAATTCAGAAGAAGTGGCTCTCTTTAAGGACCCAATAGGCTAGAGTGGTTTATTACATATTGTTTTAAGCCCCTTTCTGATCTAGGTCTCTCTCAGAACACCATCATTTAGGAGCTCATATGTCTTTCCTTTGTCAAAATAAGAAAAATTAGATCTCTGTCTCTAAGAAACCCTTCCTTGTCTCTGCGTTCACCAAACCTGAGCCTATCACAATAAATCTATGAGAAGCTAAGCCCTGATACCATGGGTAAGGGAGTCTGGGAGCTTAATTAGAAGATTAATTTCTTAAGAGATAAACATTGCCATTCTTTGACCTTTTAACTTTCAGTAGAGAACAGCAAAATTGACTATCTTCGCTCCCAGACAAGGGAATTACTCCCTTACCCATGGTATCAGGGCTTAGCTTCTCATAGATTTATTGTGATGGGCTCAGGTTTGGTGAACACAGAGATAAGGAAGGGTTTCTTAGAGACAGAGATCTAATTTTTCTTATTTTGACAAAGGAAAGACATGAGCTCCTAAATGATGGTGTTCTGAGAGAGACCTAGACCAGAAGGGGGCTTAAAACAATATGGAAGAAGTAATTTTTTGTTGTTGTTGTTCTGTGGGTTTTTTGGGTTGTTGTTAGTCTCTCTCTATAGTGAAAGGCAGAGAACAAGAATACTTTGTAGATTTGTCTCACATTTGGTAGAAGGCAGAAACTCTATGTTATGTAAAGTTAGTAGAATACAAGTGAGGTAGGCTTAAGTAAGGTAAGGCACATAATAATTGCTGAGATGGGGAAATGACTTTTGAATTCCTTCAAAAAAGTATTTTCAAAAATTATCTGCTGCTTCTTTGTGGTTTTCTTAGGTCACTGGACCTATTTGGGCTGGGGAGAACAACAGAGTACGTAAGAATTGAAATTCCTTATCATTTTCTTGATCTTACCCACAAAGTACATACTCCCTCTGAACTGTGAAGCTGGATATTCATGCATAGACTTCCATTTCCCTCTCCTCTCCTACTTAAATATCGGGAGACAATGACCTGTGGTGGAATGTTATATCCTTTCAGGCTGGTTTCTTGACGACTTTGTGTGTGTTTATGTGTGTTACAAATTTCAAACCAAAGTCCCAGTCATAATCCTGACAAGATCTCCTAATTTTTATTCCCCAGAGGCAAGTAGTAGCATCAGCCCCCTAGTGTGGCCTTCTCCTTTGGTCCCTTTGGCTAAGGAGTGCAGTGACCAGAAGGAGAAGGTTCATTCTAGGATGAACTAGAGTCAAGGTGATTGGTGTGCATTCTGATTTGGCTGATTTTCTTGACTAGGAGGATATGCAGAACAGACTGCTGTCTTGGGTTTATTGGTCTAGCAAATTGTGAATGCCATTTCAGCCAAAAACCTGCTTTTGTTAAGGAAACAAGAGGCTGAGGATATGGCTTGGCTTTCCCTGAAGCAGCCCAGCTAAGGCCACCTTTGTTCTAGAGCTTAGAGAGTGGGCAGCCAGTTCTTTGTGGCAAAACATGTAGCCCTAGGCTGACATTACTGGTTGTGTTACCCATCTTACAGGATCTGGTTGAGTCTCAGTGATTAGGTATCCAGTAGGTACTAAGACGGGCCAAAGTTTGTCCTGTCACTGGAATTTCTCATGAAGTCTGTGCTTTCTGTGATTTGAATCCTGAGTACTTCTGCTATTAGGAAAGTACTCAAAAGCAGCTTGACCCATTTATGCCTAGTGTTCCATTATTGGAACTCTAAGCATGTGGGAGTTATTTATATCCTACTGCTCAAGGTCATCGCCAAGCAGTAGGTGACCTCAAGCATAAATTGCAACCTCAGGCATAAATGGGTTAACAGAGCTCAGGTAAGTTAAGGTTTTCAAGTAGAAAAAGCAACTAAGCCATGAAAAAAATGTGAATGAATTTTCTTTCCTTTCTTTGGTTGCTGAAGTTCTATTAATAGGTGTGCTGTGGATTTAAAGACCAATCCAAGACTCAATCCAGGAATACCACATACTAGAGGGCCTCATTTTTCTGTATTTCACTGGATTTTGTTTGAGTGCCTGCTGTGTGCTTGGAGGCCCATCTTTGTTTGCCCCAGGTTAGATGACCTTCCCAGCCTACTTTTGCAGGTTTTTAATTTTCCATAATTTCCTCTATGTCTTTTTATTTACCTATCAAATGAACTACAAAATGGTTTCTCAAAAATATATAGCCTTTCCTACCACTGGGCCTTTCATCATGCCACTGCTTTTATCCAAATTCTAGAAGATATTTCCCTTCTGCCTCCAATCTTCACCTATTAAAAATGAACCAATTCTTCAAAGCCATCTCCTCCTTAAAGCTTCCTTAGTTACCCTATCAGGAAGTGATTTTACTTTTAATTCATAGCACTTGGTTTGTACTAACTGCCTTGCATAGCAATTCAATATTTGTGTCTATATATTCTGTCTCCTATTAGACTGACTCTATATTCTGAGTCTTCTGTGTTGTTTAGCTTTGGATATGTAGGCAGTCAGTGAATATTTGAGTGAGTAGGTGTTCCCAGCCTTTTAATTTTCCATCTTTCAAATAGACTTTACCAGGGGCTTTTCAACTGTTACCCTCAAACTGGCTCTCTAGTTCCTTCTTAGGCTGAGCCAACCAAACCTGCACTCAGTTTCTCTCTGCAAAGCCAGGGCTTTTCTCGTCTAGCCGACATGGTGCTGTGGGATAGATTATGGAGGCAGTAAGAGATCGTCAGTGACACATTAAAAACACAGTTATTTAATTCAAATTGAAGTGTTACATATTTTCCTGAATTTCCCTTTTTAGTTTCTAATCAGGCTTGGTGCCAGGAGGTTTACTTTTTAGGAAAACTGGAGGTGATTGCCTCTCACTACTTTTTTCTGTTTCTCTCCTTTGTCTCACTTTATTCCTTAGTATATTCTCTCTCTTGCCCTCTCCTGCTTTTCATATTCTCTTCTACTCCCAACCTCTTCTTTCCATGGATGCTTTGTTTCTTAATATTTGCCCTTTATTTCTTTAGTGTAGAAATGTTGTTAGCCTTTAGTAAAGTTGTAGAGTATCTCTGTTTAGCCTAGCAAAATAAACAAAAAGCAGACTATTATTTAGGAGTAATAGGTCACATGCAGGGAGAAAGTAAAACCTGTGGATTTGGGTTGTGGGCTTCTAACTCTGGCTGAGCTGCCCTCTCTGGCCTCAAAAGTGATAGGATTGTCTGTCGCAGTTGCCTCCTTGGAGACTGAATCTTGTTTCTCTGGGTTATGTGCTAATACTTTTCCTGCCAGAGTTTAGTAGACCTCTGGTTTTGTCTCCTTTGTTGCCTCTGCCCCTTCATCTGTATGCATGAATAGTCCAGCACTGACTTCTACAGACTTGCTCTTTCTGTGGGTTCAGAAAGAATTAAGTCTGAGTGGCATATGGTTTTGTCTCTGGGTCCTATTTTTCTTGTCTTCAGAACAACAGATGCATCAAGGGCTAAAAACAGTGCTTCCAAAGTCTCTTTTTCTTAATATATCATCAGAATGCTTTGTAAGCAGAATGCTTTGCATCCCTCTTGTTTGCTTTTGTTTTCAAGCTTTGCTACTCCTGCCCTGGTCAGTGGACTACTTGCTCCAAATGTCAAGTATTAACTAATACTTGTTCCTGACCATTTGAACATTAGCTTCTTTCTCATGTTGATATTTTTCCTCCCGGAGTTCTAATCCCTCTCCTCTCCTTTTTTATGTTCACATGTAACCATAAACTCAAATAGGAAAAGCTCATAAGATCATCTTACCCCTGTCTCCCATCTGTACCCACAAATGTTATTGAGAGTCCAATGCTCAGATTTTCTTCCTTACCTATAAAACCCACATGTTTGTGCTCTCTTTTAGTGGAATTCTTATCTACCAACTTGTCTAATGAAGCCAAGGGGGGTCATTTCCCTATTATCTTCAATATGGCCCCATGTTTTACAATTCTGTCTGGAATTTTCTTTTTCTAGTTCATTAACTCTTTTCTGTTTCCGCTGTATAGATGCAGGTCCTTATCTCCTGCCTGAGCAATTGTAAAAGCCTAATCTTACGGTCTTCAGGAGGTTTCCACTGCCCACATTGCTACAAGATTATCTTTTTTTTTTTTTGAGACGGAGCCTTGCTCTGTCGCCCAGGCTGGAATGCAATGGCATGATCTTAGCTCACTGCAACTTCCACCCTCTGGGTTCAAGCGATTCTTCCGCCTAAGCCTCCCTAGTAGCTAGGATTACAGGCATCTGCCATCATGCCCGGCTAATTTTTGTATTTTTATAGAGATGGGGTTCCACCATGTTGGCCAGGCTGGTCTTGAACTCCTGACCTCAGGTGATCCACCTGCCTTGGACTCCCAAAGTGCTGGGATTACAGGTGGGAGCCACCGCGCCTGGCCCCAAGATAATCTTTTAAAATTACTAACATGAGTTCATTTTGTGCTAAAAGTATCTCCATTTTGGGATGGTGAACATTCCTTTTCCTCATTGTAAGCCAAATAGGAACTTGTCAAGAAAGGACACGTGGAACCCTGTTAATCATACACATAAGGGTATGGTGTCAGATACGACTTCCTCTCTGTAAAACAGGCTTCAAAGCACTCTTAGGTTGAGCTCCCTTTCCAAGCACAGCGATGATTTGTAAGTGTGGTCTTTTTAGTTAACTTTAACAAAAAAACTGTAGCCAGTCAGGTGCTGGTCTGAAGGACAAATAATTCTACGAAATTGTAGTCACTGCTGTTGGATAAACTTGGCTGCATTGTCAGCAAGATCCCATTGGCAGTGCATAAGTTTTTTCTTCTCTCAGCCCATCCTCTGGATGGGAATTCTGAGCCTAGGGTGTAGGTGCTTGACAGGAATTGTTAGGAAAAGCTAACACTGCAGCAGCACAGTAAGAGTGCTGCTGTTCTCAGCTGCATCTAGAGCCTTTGACTTGATTTCCAGGCCTTGGCTTTGACCTTCCTGATTTCCAGGACCAGCTTCTGATGTTAGACCTGCTTATTTGGTTCAATCCATATGTTTAAAAGTCTGAAAACACCAAGACAACGTTAAATAAAAGTTTTGGGGTTTTTTTCCCCAAGATATGAAAAAGCTAACTTTTTTAAACCTCTGCTCCTTTCCCCTTTCTTTAATAACAGGGGACCAGACTGTATTTGTGACATTTAAAAGCAGTTTTTAATTATGGTTATGATAGTTGGAGAAGCAGAATTCCAAAGAATTCTACAGTGGGAAAATGCAACCTAGAGCTCCTCTAAGAATAAGCACTAAAATTAAACTAAGTATATATCTCATATGATAAGGAAGAGAAACTTGTGGGTATTAATTGAGACAGTTCTGCTCATGGCTCTGAGGTCGTCACTGGGCTCATGTGAAGCTCAGCTTGCTTTTGTTCTCAAGGTCCAGACTTGTTACTACTAAGTTAGAAGCAGAAATAATTCTGAAGAACTAAATAAAGCTGGGGTGCTTTGATTGAATGTGCTTATTCCATAGCTTTTGAAGACCCTGATAGTGCCGTCGATGACCGAGATAGTGACTATCGCAGTGAGACCAGCAACAGCTTCCCACCTCCTTACCATACAGCTTCCCAGCCCAACGCTTCTGTGCACCAGTTCCCTGTGCCGGTGCGATCGCCACAGCAGCTGCTACTTCAAGGCAGTTCCCGGGACTCTTGTAATGACTCTATGCAAAGTTATGACCTTGATTATCCAGAGCGGCGGGCTATCAGGTGGGTATTGAGCACAAAGTACTTTCTCTTCCTAATATCCAGGTCTCATGATGCAATTGGCAAGAAGAATTTGGATGCTTTAACCTGAAGAGGTAGCGTAAGTGTAGCAGTATCACCGGCCAAACTACAGTCATTTTGTGTAGATTATTAGTCTTTTTTTTCTTCCACATGTTTATACATTGCCATAAGGAATTTTATGTTTATATATTGCCATAAGGAATACTTCTCTTCATGATCAGTGATTCTCAACTGATCAGGGCGATCCCACTTGGGGTGTATCTGCCCCACTTCCTGACTCAGTGAGTTTGTTATACCCTTTGCCAAGATTAAAAACAGAAAAAATCACAGATTGGATAGTCCTTCTTGCCTAAATATTTCCCTGGGAACTTTAGAAGAAAACCAGTATGATTTCTTATAGCAGATTCAGTATTTTTACTGGAACTTTGTTTTAATTTATTTTATTTCTTAAATATATAAAACAATTATGTGGTTAAAAAATGTCAATACAGCATAAAGAGTTTCCCACCCACACTTACCTTCCTCCACCCCATCTTCTTCCTGTTTCATAATTCCCTTCCTACTGTTGTTTCTTATGTATCCTTCCATAGACTGTTGTCATATATTTATGAGTATAAAAGCAAGTACATACATATGTGCTCTCCCCTGCCCTAAGATTAAAAAAAATTTCAGACTTAAAGAAAATTTGGAGACATAATTCAATGAAAACCCATATTCATGTTGCCTAGATTTACCAGTTGTGTTAACATTTTACCACATTTACTTTATCTCATTCTCCCTAATATGTATTCATATACACATACATTTTCTCTGAACCACTTAAAAATAAGTTGCAGATATTGTGTTACTTCATCAGAAAGTATTTCAGCATGTTACTCCTAAGAAAAAGAACTTTATCTTATATAACCTCAATATCATGATCACACTCAAGAAGTTTAATGATGCAATGTTATTACCTAATGTTTAGACCATATTTAAATTTCTCCAGTTATCTCCATAATGTTCTGTATGTATATTTGTTCCTTTCTGGTCCAGGATCCAATCCAGAACCGTGATGCATTGCATTTGGTTTTCATGTTTCCTTAGCTTCCTTTAATTTAGCAAAAATTTCATTACCTTGGTTTTTTGGTCTTTTAAGAAGCTTTTTTTTTTTTTTTTGAGACAGAGTCTCACTCTGTCTCCCAGGCTGGAGTGCAGTGGCGTGATCTCGGCTCACTACAACCTCAGCATCCCCGGTTCAAGTGATTCTCGTGCCTCAGCCTCCGGAGTAGCTGAGACTACAGGTGCACGCCACCATGCCCGGCTAATTTTTGTATTTTTGGTAGAGACGGGGTTTCATCATGTTGGTCAAGCTGGTCTCCATCTCCTGGCCTCAAACGATACGCCTTCCTCTGCTTCCCAAATGGAATTACAGGCGTGAGCCACCGTGCCTGGCCTAAGACACATTTTTTTTTTGAAGAGTGCAGGCCAGTTGTTTTGAGAATGCCTCTTCGTTTGGTTTTGTCTGATTATTTCTTCATGTTTAGAATCAGGTTAAACGTTTTTGGCAAAAATGCTGGATGTTTCCTTCACATGCATTCAGGAAGCACATACTTTGTCTTTTTTTTTTTTTTTTTTTTGAGACGGAGTCTCGCTCTTTCGCCCAGGCCGGACTGCAGTGGCGCTATCTCGGCTCACGGCAAGCTCCGCCTCCCGGGTTCACGCCATTCTCCTGCCTCAGCCTCCCGAGTAGCTGGGATTACAGGCACCCGCCACCGTGCCCGGCTAATTTTTTGTATTTTTAGTAGAGACGGGGTTTCACTGTGTTAGCCAGGATGGTCTCGATCTCCTGACCTCGTGATTCACCCACCTCGGCCTCCCAAAGTGCTGGGATTACAGGCGTGAGCCACCGCGCCCGGCCCCTACTTTGTCTTATTATTGGTGATGTTTAGTTTGATCTCATGGTTAAAAAATTTGGTATATGCCGTATTTCTCCAGTGTAAAGTTTCCTCTTCTCCTTTGTAATTAATAATATCTGGAGTGATACCTGAGACTGTATCAATACTCTGTTTCCCCAATAGTCTTTTACTCAATGATATTAGCATCCATTGATCCGTGCCTGAATCAATTATTTTATTGATTGGAGGTTAGTTTTCAAGAAATCATTCCAATTTAGCTTATCCTTTTAGTTTCTAAAATTCACTAGACTGGCTAGGTGCAGTGACTGATGCCTATAATCCCAGCACTTTGGGAGGCCAAGGCGGGAGGATCACTGGAGTCCAAGAGCTTGAGACCAGCCTGAGAAATATAGTGAAACCTCATCTCTACAAAAAATAAACAAAATTAGCTGGATGTGGTGGCGCATGCCTATGGTCCTAGCTACTTGGGAGGCTGAGTTGGGAGAGATTGCTTGAGTCTGGGAGGTCGAAGCTATAGTATGCCAAGATTGCACCACTGCACTCCAGCCTGGATGACAGAGCAAGACTCTGTCTCAGTCAATCAATACAAAATTCACCAGACCATAGGATGATGTCCTTTTCTTGCCCACCTCACCAAACTGCTACATGGTGAGTTTAGACACAGGGTCTTGCGTTGTTGCTCAGGCCGGTCTTGAATTCCTGGGTTCAAGTGATCCTCCTGCCTTGGCCTCCGAAAGTGCTTGGATTACAGGTGAGAGCCACTGCACCTGGCCTTCTGGAAGATTTTTAGTGACTAAGTGTCTGCTTTGATCTTGCTTCTGTTTCCTAAATGAATGCTTTTGGATGTTATATCTATAAAGAACACACTGAACTCATAAGCTCCTAGCCTTTAGGTTCTTTCTCCATCCCTACCTTGGTACACAGAAGAAGGCAGTCTTTAATCTAAGTGAAAGAAAGTTCAGGCTATCTTCAGTATTCATTGTTTTAAGGTGGGCATGTAGCTTCTGCTGCTATAATCAGTATAGGGAAAGATTTTCTTTTCACTGTGATCCTCAATGCATATAGCCTTTAGATTTCACAAACAACAAATTATAATGCCTTAGGCTGGGCATGGTGGCTCATGCCTGTAATTCCAGTAGTTTGGGAGGCTGAGGGCGGGTGGATCACCTGAGGTCAGGAGTTCAAGACCAGCCTGGCCAACATGGTGAAAACCCACCTCTACTAAAAATACAAAAATTAGCTGGGCCTAGTCGTGGGTGCCTGTAGACCCAGCTACTCGGGAGGCTGAGGCAGGAGAATTGCTTGAACCCAGGAGGCGGACATTGCAATGAGCTGAGAATGTGCCATTGCACTCCAGCCTGGGCAACAAGAGCAAAACTCCGTCTCAAAAAAAAATTATAAGGCCTTAAATAATTTGTTATTTTTTTGTAGTATAACAAAGTTTGACTTCTGCTGATAGTAAAAAATGGTTTTATATGTATTTTTTTCTTATTAAAAGAAATATGTTTGACTATATTCTTGGCTACACATCCTCAAATATAACTTTCAGAAAGTTAACAGCTTGGCTTCTTTTTAGACTAAAAATTTATCAGCAAATTTCGTTTTCTTGAAATCCCTTGATATATTTTGCTGGTATACTTTAATATTGCAAATACATTCTAGATATTGGTACAACATGTTTCATTTTTTTCATTTGTTTCTTAGAAAAATAAAAGAATTCTAAAAAGCTCACCAATGAAAAATGATTGCAAGTTGAAGCATTTAAAAATTGATATTATAGCTGTTCTTTTTCTCATATGGAATAAACTATTTGACTACATTGATATAATATTTAAGAACATGTGGATTTCCTTTTCATATTTTTTTAGTCTGAATGCTTTTTATCACATTGGCAATTTTATTGTTCTAGTCTTCTCATTGAACATGTATTAAATCTTATAACTTCTTTCTTCCTTTTCCCTGTCTCTTCCTTTTTCTTTGCTTTATTGTTCCTCCAATTTTATCCCTTCACATCAGACAAGGCTCACAGGCTAAAGATGAAAAAATTAGGATTATTTCAGCTTTCTCTGATGTTGACTATGAAGAGCAAGAAGATATACATAAGGAGATAGAGGGGAAAATATCACAAGAGTTTCTAGAAAATAATAACATAAACTTGAAGGAAGCAGAGATAAAAGAAATTAGAACCCTTTCAAAAGCTGATAAATACTACAGCCAACAAAAACAACCAAAGTATAAGAACAGGAAAAAGATACCACCTCAGAGCCAACAAACAGAATTCTCTACTGAGTTTAAGGTTGAAACTTCTGTTTTCTCCAGGTATGCTCAGAAATATGATACACTAGATAGAAGAAGAAAAAAGAAATCCTTATACAATCATTTTGAAGACAGTGAAAGAAGGCAATATGGTGAGAGATCTGAAACTAAGACTAACTACAAAAGTACATATTCTAATACTGAAAATTGTACCCTTTGCCATACTGAAAAGAAACAAAATATGGGGTACCCAGTTTTGTACCCCTACAAAAATGGATTTGTGGTTAAGAGTGGCATGCAGCGCATTAAGTTGGAAAGTCATGATTATGATCTGTCCAGTTGTTTAAGGCACTGTGAAAAGTCATCTGGCTCAAACCAGCATGTCACTAATTTTACCTCATTAGATATTCTTGAAGATTCTACTAGTAGTACTTCTGATGAACTTCTGGGTTCCCCCATTTCTGATAAGCAGGAAAATTTACAGTCACCAACATGGCATTCATCCAATGTCCACCATATTGGAGATTTTCCTGAGGAATATTATGTAGCAAATTCAGCATTGCCATTACAAAGGATGAATTGTGATGCAAAAACACTTGGAGATCTGTCTGAGTGCTCTATAGAAGAGATAACCCCTTCCTCTATTGAGGAGCCCAAGGAGGACCGTATTGATACAATGGATGAGCTTCAGTGTTTGGTAGAAACGGTGTCAGAATATTTAGCAGAGAAGGAAGAGGAGATTAATAGATTTGGTTCACTTTCAAAAACTAAAAAATCACATAAACAAAATAGTACTCTTGATGCAGAACAGAGAACGCCTGGGGATCAAATACCACCTTTAACTATTGTCAAGAATGACAAGGACACGGCCATCTCTTTCCCTGAGTTGACTGGAGTACAATGTGCTGTTGGTTCTTTGTTTAGTTCACTCACAGAAAAAGTGGGTTCAGGCACAAAGCATCTAACAAACTCTGTGGAAAAGTTGGTTTCCTTAGTTCCAGAAAAAACAGAAACTCTTAATCAAATAGAGGCAATTAATTTGGGATCTAAACCCAGAGCCATGGCAGTATTGGGGAAGGATCTTTCCATGCAATCTCCATTATCCTCTCAAAAAGATGATAATGTGAATATAGACAGACATAGAAAAACCTCTGAAAATGAGCACATGGGTAATAAAACTGGGAGTTTATACTTTCAGAATACAACAGAAAGTATTGCAAAGGACTTGGCTCCACAGAGTCAGAGTTCAGTTATAAAGTCGGTTTTCAGCAGGTTAAATCCATTGAAGATCTTTTCAGAAAAGGAGGAAACAAAAAAAGATGATGACCAGAGTAAGCCACCAAGAAAAGAAAGCTTTGTTGAGTGTGGTTTGGAGTTAAATAAAAGGGAAGGCACTCTTGACAATTACAGTAGTAGCATCATTGCTTTAAATGGGAGTGATGAAGAAACTACGGGCTGGTTCCAGATGCCCACAAGTGAGAATTTGTTGTCCTCCCAAGTAACCAGTGAACCTTCAAACTTAGTTAGTTCTGCAAGTAAAAATGATGAGAGTCTATTGGAAGAAAAACTCTGTATAGATCTGTCTCTTTTACCAGATCAACAAAAAATATGTGCCAAAGATACTCCAGGACATCCTTGTATAGCTGGCAGTAGAACTGCAAATAAAGAGGTATTTTCAAAGCCATTAGAGGAGGACAAAGTTACAGGTAATGATGATTTCCTTGAGCCACTCAGAAAATCATTTAGCCAGTTTTTGCTCACTTCCCCTGAGACTTGTTCAAAGGAAAGTTTGTCAGAACCTGTGAAAATTCGCCAGGTGGAGGAAGATGGTTTAGAAAGGGGCTCTAAGAAAGATGGTCATTCCTTTTCCTTTAGTGGAAAACTAAATCTTCCATTTTTTAGAAGTCTTGGTCATTCTGAAAAGCAACAGGAGTTAAAAGAGAAAGGAAGCATTTTTCCTTTGTTTAAATTTTCTTTCACTGACAGCAAGGTTACTGTTAATGACCAGAGTTTACGTGGCTCAGCAGTAACCACTGATGAGGAGAGCAAAAAAAATTGCCATGAAGATACCAAACATAGTTCAATAAAATCTAGTTCTGTTCCAAATATTCATAGTGATCTAGGAAAATTTGACAGTACAGAGGAATTTAAAAAGAATGACCAGATAAATTGTCCTGAAGATGCCAAACTTAATTCAATAAAATCTAGTTCAGTTCCAAATATTCATGATGATCTAGAGAAGTTTGACAGTATAAAGGAATTTAATAAGAATGACCAAGTAAATTGTCCTGAAGATGCCAAACTTAGTTCAATAAAATCTGGTTCAGCTCCAAATACTCAGGATAATCTAGGGAAATTTGACAGTACAGAGGAATTTAATCAGAATGACCAAATAAATAGTCCTGAAGATGCCAAATTTAATATAATAAAGTCTGATTCAGTTACAAATATTAATAATGATCTGGGGAAATTTGGGAATATAGAGGAATTAAATCCAAGTGACCACACAGCAGGACAGAATTTTGAAAGGGATGGCTTAGCCATCCCTGGAGTTGTGCCCAAAGAACATATAACTTCAGATCCTTTAGGAGAAGATAAGAATCTTATACAAGCAGCATCTTCAGTAGCATCAGACTCTTCATTAGAGTGTATTTCTACCACTTCCAAATCCACTTTGGTTAATGAAATTAATGAAGATGAGGTTATAGATAAGACTTCCAAGAAAAATACCCAAGGAAGCTTCCTTTCTGGCCTGTTTAATAGGTTTTCTTCTGCTGAAAATTTGTCTAGTCAAGAATTAAATTTGAAAAATGATGACTCCCATCACAAGAATAATACCCCAGGTTTAATCTCTGGAATATTTAACCTGCTATCAAATAGCGGTATGATTGATCATAAACCAGAGGAAGCAAAGTTCATGTCTTTAGGCAACATGAAGAGTTTGAATGGAGATAACCATTTATCCTTGGATGAGGTCCCTGCTACTTCATGTGTGACTTCTGAGAACCCGAAGAACCATGTTGAAAAACATGAAACTTCTAGCTTCATAGAAGCCTCCTTATTACCTAAAGAAAACATACCATTATCTGATGCTGGGGATGATAATCATTATTGTTCCCCTACAGAGAAAAACCAGCAAAGTGAAAAGCATCACCCCTCCTCTGAGAACATTGTACTTCACTGTGCTCCAAGTGCTCAGCTAGGTTTTTTGGAGAAATCTATGGCTAAGAGGCAAATGCCAAACCATGTTCTTGAGGCAAAACTACATGAAAATTCAAACAAGTTAAATTCACCTGTACTAAATACCAACATTCTCAATAAATCAAACAACTATCAGGCTTTTGAAGAGATGAACAGTCCTTTCTGTTTTGAATGGGACTCTGACATAAAAGATTTGTCTAAAAATTCCAGAAAACTTCAGCCAGTTTATTATATGTTAAATCAAAATAGATTTCTATCAGCCGATGCTTGCTTGTGGCTTGACTCAGAAAACTCAGTGATAAATTTTTGCCAAAAAGATCAAAATGCAAACATCTTGGAGTGGAGAACAAATCCAAACAGTGTCATTTGGTGTGACTTACCATATGAATCATTCAATCAGTTAGCATTTAATGAAGATTACTTATTAAGAGGTGATGTGTGGGCAGCTAACTCATTATATGGAAACTCTGGTCCTCTTCCAATTAATGAGGCTAATAATTCACTAGAAGAATTACCCATTGACTTAAGTTCTTCATCAGATCATGAAAAGACTACATGCCCCGTAGTTGATCAAGAATCATTAAGAATGGATGAAAACTTTGTTTTTTCAAGTTTTGGTTATGAGTACCAGGAATGGTTGTCATGTCTTGAACATGGAGTGTGGTGGCCATCAGAGGATGGGGATTATGGATATTATATGTTTCATGATGGTCAATATATCTATTCTCTTCTCACTGATTCTACTGGGCAGTATGCATATTTATTTATACCTGATTCTTATCAAGAGTATTTGGATTGTGATTTACAGACAAATGGTCTATCAAGTATTACGTTGGATGACAGCATTATTTCTGCCTGTAGTTTTAAAGTACTTGATAAGGAAGATGAAATATTTTGGTATGTTGAAGAGGAACCAATTGATGACCCTCTTGATTTATCTTTAGCTTTGCCAAGAAGTGAGGAACCATTGTATCTAAATTTAGAAACCTTTTCACAAGTACTTAAAGAGTCAAGTTGTGACCAAAGCGATCAGCCACTAGATTTTTCAGGCTATAATCGTCAAAAGTTTAAAGGAGACTTTAGATCTTTCAAAGAAAGGCCGTGTGGTTCTGAAGACGCTGAATGTACATTAGATCTCAGAAATCAGCCCCAAACTATTAGTAATCATGTCTCAAGCAGAGATCAAATTATAGAGAGAGATAAAAACCAGCCTCTAGCTGAAGATTCATCAGTTCACCTTTCCAGTTTCCATTGGCTTCAGTCTTCTGTTGAAGAAGTTACCACTTTGGTTCATCCTGAAAATATGACTAAAGGCTCACAACAAGCAGAAGAGACATCATTAGTGAACAAAGTGGCTTCAGTATTTTCTGTTTTGGGTGCCTCAGTTGGTAGTACTTTGAAGTTTGATAAGAGTGAATCCTTAGAGGCTTTGGCCATGCAGAAAGTGAATCAGCAGTCAGATTTAGCAGAGCTCACAAATGATGGCTTTCAGTCATTAATCATGAGTAAGCAATTAGAGGGTAACTCCCCAAATGTGGAAAAAAGTCTTCTTAAGGATTCAGAAAGACAGATAGTATCCAATGTTCAGCATCCAGAATTGATCAAAAATATAAGGCAAGAATTCTCTTTAAATAAAAACAACCATGTGAAAAAGCAAAGTTTGTTAAAATCTGGTTTCCAGGTAAGCCAAACAACTCCTCAGGCTAAATCAGGTGTAAAAGATGATGAAATCATTACAACAGACTCTATTTCAGTTTCTCCTGCACCTCAGCATAGTGGGGATGAGCGTGAGAATTATGAGCTTCCCCAGGGCCAGTCATCCAAAGAGTCTGATAAAACATTATTTAAAAGTTCATTGAAACTCTTCAGTCAAGAAGAATCGTCAGTTAGTATGACAGCAAATGAAAAACAGTCATCTGGATTTTTGAATCTTTTTAAGACTCAGGTGAATAAAGAAGGATCACCAAACTTAGAAAAGATTGGTGATACAAATGTCAAGATACCACCTCAAGAAAAGAAAGAATCTTCTGGTGTTTCAAATTTTTGGGGTACCCTTGGGGATTTCTTTAAAGCCAATGTATCTCCTATACAGACAACTGAAAATACGTCTGTTTCTTCAATGACTATTAAGGATGAGGTCAGGTCAAGTCCTACTCCTATGGAGCTAGCTAGCCAGGGTGCTGGGAACTTTCCTGCTGCACCAATTTCCTCTAAAGGGAAGGCTAGAGTTAGAAGACTGAACAAACAGACTACTATCGATGACAGTAGGTTAGAGGAATCAACTAGAGGGATCCAGGGTAATGATTTGACTGAAAAAGAGGTACCATTCAGAGACCATCTAATCCAGCAGTCACCTAATTCATCTTTTTCAACAAGTAGTCTCAAAGAGTCTTCCAGGGAGTCTTCAGTAGAAACTAGTGGTGTGACTACAGTGACAGAAGTTTCAAAAAGTAATGAAATATCCTTTGATACCCTGAGCAAGAGAAATTCAAATGAACAAGATCATTTTTCTGACAAAGACTGGAGTTTCTCTATGGCTGCAACATCTTCATCTCAACCAGAGTTATCAACCAAAAAGAGTATATTTTCTTTTCTCACTGGATCTGAAAAATCTGAGAACAGAGCCTCTGCTACTCTACCAAGAGCCAAATCTCAGGCAGAAGGGCTATTCACACTTCCTTCATTTTTTTCCACTGCTAGCTCAAGCATTAAGAAGGATGCCTCTCATAGTAGTTCTACTTTTAGTTTCTTCAGCTTGTCCTTTTTGGATCAAAAAAAGGAGACCTCTGGGGAAAAACAAAGCATTTCAACTGTTGTTCCAGTGACCTCCCAGCCCTGTAAGAAGACAAATGTTTTTGTAGAGAGTGGTAGCACAATGACCAGAGAAAGTTCCAGTGGTCATAGAGATAGCATAGCCCAAGAAGTAGTTCATGAACAGCAAATGGCACCTTGTATTTCCATTAACAACACCATTGAGGTTACCTCCCTTGCAGATGAGCTCAGTGTAGACAAGGACTGTCAGGAAAAACTGAGTTCCAATATTGTACCAGGGACATCAGTGGATTTCCAGATGAATGAATTGCAAAAAGACATTATTCCTCCTTCACCAGAATTTCAGGCACAGGCTGAAACATTCCTCACTGGCCCAGAGAACCTTGGGATAGCTCCCCATGAAGAAGAGGCTTTCAACCACAAAGCCTTCCCCAGTGACTCACTGTCCAACTCTTTTTCACATGCTAAACAGTTAATTGAAAAATTCAATGATTTAGACACTTGTACTAACTGCCACCAAAATGAGAAATTTACTACTGACCCAGTGAACTTGCCATTAGAAAAGGCCCCCGATGAGGTCTTACCACAGATCCTAGAGCCAGCCTCTTCCTCTCCAGAGCCAGGGTGTGCAGGGAACCTTCAGAACCAAGATGCAGATAAAGAGGAAGACAAATTTGCATTAGGCTCTTCAGTAGACATGCTTTCAGGGTTTGTGACCAAAGTGAAATCTTTCTCTGGGAGCTTAATTGAACCTCCCAAAACACTCTCTGGACTTTTCTCCTCTCCTAAATCTCCAAAGAAAAACTCCTTTTTCTCTCTTGCTTCTGATGTATCATCTCAGCCCCTCAAAGGTGAATTATTTGGAATTTTCAAAAGTCCCAAGCCAGAGCCATACAAACAAGAATCATCTCTCCCAGCTACTTCATGGCTTCAAAATGGTTGTTCCAGAGATGCTGTAGGATCAGTACCTCCAGAAAGGAGAGAAGCTGCCTTTACAGCACTAAGTTCAGAATCTACTCTCAGTGACTGTAGAATGACTGTGGTTAGTGCAAAGCCAGAATCAGATATCTTGACAGATGATCCTAAACTAACAACCAAAATGGAAGACAATAATACTCCTGAAAATATTCTGGAACCTCAACGTTCTGAAACAATTAATACATCTTCTTTCTCGGGTGATGATACTGGGCAAGGAGTATTGTCTCTGAGTGATGAAGGAGACATGGGGATATTGCAAGCTACAGACACGGAGGCATCGTTAGAAGCAGAGAACTTTGCGCTGCCAGCACAGTTGCATCCAGATCCTACCTGCATTGCCGAAGAGCTTCCTCCTCCCATTCAGCCACCTCTTCCTCTTGAGCCAGAGCCAGCTATTCAAACTGCCTCCACAAACCAAGACTTACTGGAGCTGCATCCAGCCAGTTCACTAGAAACTGATACTATGCTGTTCAATGATGCAAGTGTGAGCCAGAGCACCACTCTGGAAACCGAAGGGCACTTTTCTCATCCTCTGCTGGAGGACCCTGTGCTTGCTGCCAGAGAAAGTTGTGAGATAATTCATGCCCAGAAAGATCCACCTGTAGTACCCCAGGAAACAGAGCAGTCAAGACCACGTTTTGAGATCCCAAATGTGACCACTTGGCCAAAGCTTCGTTTGCCATCCTCTGCTACTAACCATGGGAAACCACTGAGCTCTTTCTTTTCCTCACCTCTCCCCTCTGGCAATAGAGCAGCAGAGACTGGTTTAATGTCCAGTTTTAAGAAGTTGTCAACTCTATTTGAGGGAAGTAGTGAGGGGAAAGGGAGTGTATTAGCAAGTGATTCAAAACTAGGATTTGGAAAGGTAGATCTTTCATTTCCATGGCCAAAAGAGAACAAAGGGGTCCCTGAACAAATGCCTACAGAATCCTCCCCTCCAGTTTTAGTTACTAGCAGTGATCAGGACCTTAACTCCAGTGAGGCTAACAAAGCTTTGAAGTCTTCTCAAATATCTGGGGCCAGTGCTCAGCCAGGTAAAGTCTACACTCAGCCCTCTGGGACCTCTGAGCAGCTGGTGGCCAGTCCAGAGGTCTGTGCTCAGGGGCTTTCAGGGTCTGGAGAAGGGGGAAACCAGCAGGAAATCTCAGCATCTGGAGAACACTGGGATACCAAAGCCAACCTGTCTAGCCCCGCCTGTCCTTCAGGGAAACATGAGGAAGAACCCTCCACTGTCTCTGAGATATTTCACCAGCTAGAAAAACAAGAAGAGGAGGCAGTACCTGCCAGTACTGACTCTGATTTGAATGTACAGCAGCCAGTCACTCTGAATGACATCAAGGAGCCCATGACCAACAAAAGGCCTGTTCTTAACTCAAGCATCATAAATGGCTTTAAGGAATTGACCATTTATGATGCAAGTGACTTAGTGGTAGATTAATCATAGCTTGCTTTTTATCCTTCTTGTGTCTTTCCTAGTACCCGAGCTTCATGTTAATTAGGGGTTAAATAACAAGAACTCAGTGTGTGGGTATTTTCATCCTCCCCTTCTCTCTCTGCCAAATGTAATTCATTTACTGGAACAAGGAGCTTCCTGCTTAAAGCAAAAGCTGGGCCCCCGATATTTACTCACTCTGGTTTGCTCTGCCTTGTATAATGTGAAATGGAGAAAGGAGGGCAGGAAGAGGTAGTAAGTAGTTGGTGGTATATATTAACTACAACTACATGATAGGCTAGGATGCTTCCTTGGGCCTTAGGCACTTATATCTTGTAGGAGATGGGGATAGATCTATTTTGCTTTGTTTTTTCAAGTCTTCTAAGATGCTTTCTCCAGTGGCAATGAGTGTATTAAGCAAAATACAAAGTGCAAAGGATGCCTTGGGATAGTCTGTATTCCCATATCCTATTCCATACAGATTTGCATAGTTTCTTCCATGGTATCATCTCTGCCTTTTACTACCCTCAAGGCTGATGTCTGATAAATGCTTTGAGTAAAATCTCACAGGAACTCAGAGCTGTCCTTTGCTGTAGTTCTTCAGTCTCGAGCAGTGTACAGGATCTATCTGCAGAGGGTACTGTTATTTCCCCTAAGAAGCAGTACCATACAGTACAGATTAAGAATGCTACCTTGACCTCTGGCCCAAACTTGTTCAAAGGGGTTGGTCAGGGTCAGTGTGTGTGTGTGTGTGTGTGTGTGTGTGTGTGTGTGTGTGTATACTTATGTACAAGTATATGTGTTTGTGTGTTGAACTACTCAGAACAGTGACCTGGTACCTATTCTGCTGGCATGGGCTAGAGGATCAGAAATCAGCCTGAAAATACCAGGTAATTAGGAGGAACTTTAGGGAAAATCCCATTGGAAAATAACAGTGATTTCTCTTCTTTGACCAAGGGTAAACACAAGCCCTTTAGTTAAAGGCTTGACTCTGTGGTAAGAAAATTCTTCAAAAGAACTGAAGCCCTTAGATGACAGGGCCATAAAACTCAAGGAAGTAACTTCTAGATACTGCTCTTCTTTCCACCACTCTGCCCTTCTTGCCACTGTCACATTCTCTGCTATAACTGCTTTCTCTCATGACTTTCTGGATATGGGAATACAGGTGATTGAGAAAAGATTGGCTTGCTGGTCTTCAGATATAGAGATGCATGAATACGGCTCTGACCCAGATCCTGGAGTTGGACTTTGTCCACTCTTTCCAAAACTGAGCCTTGCCCTGAAAGAAGCTCAGTTACAGATGTTCATCTTTGGGACGCTTCCTATGCTGCCAGGGATATCATTGTAGCATTTATGTTGATGAGACCATTCGTTTGTGTATTCTCTTGGTCCTGGCCTCTATCTTCCAATGGGTTCTATTAACTCATCTTGCAGATGAGGAAACTGAGATGATAACTGAAAGAACATGTCTGCTCTCCTTTGCTCATCCTAAGGTACAGGCGTACACATTTACAATTGTAGAGGAAGAAATGATGACCTCAATGTAATAAGTAATAGAAAAAGAGTGGAGTTCATTCATTCCATTTTACTGTGTGGAAATTAAAGAAAGATTAATCACAGCCACTGGACAAGCTTCTTTAGAAGACTGAATAAAGAATTTTAGGAATAAGTAACAGGCCATTTTAATAATTTTTAATCCTACTCACAAATAGCCTATTAAGATAAAATATACTTCAAAGTCAAGTGCAGAACTGAGGTTAAGTGTCGTTGGAGAACCCAGCATGTTGTGTTGTTTTCCTGTTGTGTTTTCGCTGAATAGAGACTAATTCTTCTAGATTATGAAGTTTGGTCCTCTCTTCCCAGGAACCTCCTATTTGATTCTTGCTACTAATGTAGTCATTATTTCCTGGATGTCTCCTTTCTTTTGTCCTGGTCCCTGATTGCATTTATTTACTTATCTGTCTTTCTGTCATTCTCACAGCCCCACCAGCAGCAGTAGGTATGGCTCCTCCTGTAATGTGAGTCAAGGAAGCTCTCAGCTAAGTGAACTAGACCAGTATCACGAACAAGATGACGACCATCGGGAGACGGACTCGATTCATTCTTGCCACAGCTCTCACAGCCTGTCCAGAGATGGCCAAGCAGGTTTTGGAGAACAAGAGAAACCCTTGGAGGTGACAGGTCAAGCAGAGAAGGAGGCAGCATGTGAACCCAAGGAGATGAAAGAAGATGCCACAACCCACCCTCCCCCAGATCTGGTGCTGCAAAAAGACCACTTCCTAGGTCCCCAGGAGAGGTAGGCAACAGCTGCCTTGAGGAGCTCACATGGCTTCCTCAGTACCTGCCCTGTGGTATTGCTGAAAATAAGTGATTGTCATTTGTTTCCCTGCAGCTGGGTATGGTGGTAGTTAACACCTCCAGGCTCAACTCTGTATTGCTTCCTTTGATTTATGGTGCACTTTCCAAGACATTTTGGAGATCTCTGAAGAATATTTGGGTTTTTGTTTGTTTGCTTTTGAGATAGGGTCTCACTCTGTTGTCCAGGCTGGCACGATCTTGGCTCACTGCAGCCTCAACAGCCTGGTCTCAAGCAATTCTCCCACCTCAGCTTCCTGAGTAGCTGGGACTACTAGGTGTGCACCACCACACCTGGCTAATTGTATGTTTATAGAGACAAGGTTTCACCATGTTGCCCAGGCTGGTCTTGAACTCCTGAGCTCAAGCAATCCACCTGCCTCAGACTCCCAAAGTGCTGGGATTACAGCGGTGTGCCACTGCACCCAGCCAGCACTTGGGTTCTTTGTAGTTAGTGAGCTGCAGTGTACCAGGGCTTCTTGAGTCTGCAGTTCATAGCTTACTAGTTGACCTTGTATATGGCAGCCTCTGAGTCAGGAACTGACTTGAGCCAGGTTATTTCATCCACTGGGGCTGTGGTAGGTACTTTGGCTGACTTCCTAACCTATTAAGAATGCTACTTTGACCTCTGGCCCAAACTTGTTCAAAGGGGTTGGTCAGGGTCAGTGTGTGTGCATGTACTTATGTACAGGTATATGTGTATGTGTGTTGAAGTACTCAGAACAGTGACCTGGTACCTATTCTGCTGGTATGGGCTAGAGGATCAGAAATCAGCCTGAAAATACCAGGCAATTAGGAGGAACTTAGGGAAAATCCCATTGGAAAATAACAGTGATTTCTGTTGTAACTTTTTTGGTGAACATTTTGTTTTGTTTTTCCCTGGCTGAGAAACCCAGGACAGAGTTAAGAAAGAATTGATCTAGAAGTCAGATTTAACCCACCCCTCAGCCTCCTCAGGGCCTAGCAATGTGTCTGCCAATTGGTATCCATAGGAAGAAAAATTTAAAATGTATCCTCTTTAACATCTCATAATGAAGCTGAGTACAGAGTCTGAATGTTATTACTGAGCTAAATCGGTTAGACTAGCTGATAGGTTGGAGCAGAGCCAGAGTTCTCAGTCTCGGCACTCGTGACATTTTGGGCCAGATTATTCTTTGTTGTGTATATTATAGGATGTTTAATAGCATCACTGGCCTCTACACACTAGATGCCAGTAGCAATCCTTGCAACCCTCAGTTGTGACAATTAAAACTGTCTCCTGACAGATTTCCCCTGGCGGGGACAGTTGCCCACTGGGGTAGAGTGATAAGGGATGGGTGTGACTTAGAGTTTCAAATTTCAAGATCTAATAATAAAGCCTCTCACTGAAACACCAGAGCACTGAATGCAGATTACATGGTAAAAATTAGGGAGTGACTGGTGCTTCTACTTTACCACTGGATTAATAGATGAGTCGCAAACCTTTCTGAAGATATTAACTTATTTTCTCTCTTCTTCCCTTTTTTGGTTTTTGGTCATCTCTGGTAGCTCATCTAATAGATGGGACATCCAGGAGGTGAGCTGTGGACCAGGCTTCTTATTGGGTTGATGACTCACTGAAAAACTGACTCTGGCTCTCCATAGACCTTAGACTTGGCAGTCACTGTTATCAGGGCAGAGTTCCTGGTGGAGAAGCAGAAGTGCCCAGCACAAGTCCTTGTCCTTCTCTACTGGTTGTGTCCTCTCAGGTCCTAGCTGTGAGAGTGAAACCCAGTTCTACCTTGGCCAGAAGTGCCCACAAATGTTTTACAACAGTTGACACATTTAGTTGGCATCAGAAACGACCATATATTTTAACATGTCTAGATGGTGGACACTTGTCTGCTGAATTGGCTGTAGACCTCAAAGAGAGAAAGGAGAAACATTGTTGCCAAGAATTAACCACTATTCTAGTTAATAATGTGGATAATGAGTTGTTCTAATGCAGGGTAGTGTTTCTGTCTCAAAGGTATTTTGTTATGTGTATTGTTCATTTTACTGAGGTTGTTCTAGAAGCAGCTCAAGGAACCAGATCATGGCAGTAAAAGGGCTGTGTGTTTTTTTTCTTTTCTTTCTTGGCACTTTTCATGTAAAAAGGAATGGGTAAGCCTTCTAAAATACTTAGTGGAGCAGGAAGGGTTTGCAGGAACAAAATTCTGCCCTAAGGATGCT